>NT_167249.2:600000-862502 GCF_000001405.40 Homo sapiens
GCAAAAATGAAAATTTCATCTTGGCATCTCTGATCTCTAATTCTCAGTGGCTTCCTCCTACTGTTGATGTCTATCCCTAACTGTGGGTATTTAGAGGTCTCAGCTGGAATTTCACCTCCCAGTGCTAACATGTGGATCAACAATCAAAGCTCGCTAGATGATTTTATCCTATTGGGATTTTCTGACCGTCCCTGGCTAGAGACACCCCTCTGTAATCTTTCTGGTGGCCTACATCTTTTCCCTATTTGGAAATATCTCCATTATCCTAGTTTCCCATCTGGATCCCCAGCTTGACAGTCCCATGTACTTTTTTGTCTCTAATCTATCCTTTCTGGACCTCTGCTATACCACCAGCACTGTCCCACAGATGCTGGTCAACCTCCGGGGACCAGAAAAGACCATTAGCTATGGGGGTTGTGTTGCCCAACTCTATATATTTTTGGCCCTGGGTTCTACTGAATGCATACTTCTAGCCATCATGGCCTTTGACCGTTACGCTGCCATATGCAAGCCCCTTCACTACCCAGTCATCATGAACCATAGACGCTGTATCCACATGGCTGCTGGCACTTGGATCAGTGGCTTTGCTAACTCCCTTGTCCAGTCCACTCTCACAGTGGTGGCCCCAAGATGTGGACAGAGGGTGTTGGACCATTTCTTCTGTGAAGTTCCAGCCCTTTTGAAACTAGCCTGTATTGATATTCGTGTGAATGAAATGGAGCTCAATGTACTAGGCGCTTTGCTTCTCCTGATGCCACTCACCCTCATCCTGGGCACTTATGTGTTCATTGCTCAGGCAGTAATGAGAATCTGCTCTGCTGAAAGTCGCTGGAAGGCTTTCAATACCTGTGCCTCACATTTGCTGGTGGTCTCCCTCTTCTACTTCACAGCCATCAGTATGTATGTCCAGCCTCCCTCTAGCTATTCTCATGACCGGGGGAAGATCATGGCTCTCTTTTATGGCATTGTCACACCCACCCTCAACCCATTCATCTACACATTGAGAAACAAGGATGTGAAAGCTGCCCTGAGAAGGTCACTGACTAAAGAGTTTTGGATTAAGACAAGATGATATCTGAAAAGAAGTCCTAAGAAGCGAGGATAGATGTGTTTGACTTTCAAAAAGATGTTGGACATGGAATTGATGAGGGAACAGTATCAAGTGACACAAAGTTTACAAGTGGAACAAGACTAAGAAAAAAACAATTAACTCTTGGTAAAATCTACATAGCATTTTTTCACTTACGAGACTATCTGCTTTACAGTATTGGATTCCATCAAGTCAGTCTTTTTTCTCCCTATTCCTAATGACTAGCTAATCTAGTTAAAGTAAGGGAAAATGGTATAATAGCTAGAGAAAAAGATACTGAGAAAGTTTAGGAAATATATTTAGCATAAATTGTTTATAAATGAATCCCAATTAAATTAGAAATGATCCCAACTCTTAGAAAAACATGCCAGTACTATCGTGAGGTAATTTTGATCAACATGTATTGCCACCATTTAGCCATCTTCTAACATTCGATGTCCAATTATATCACCCTCAAATGCTTTTGTAAGGTCTCACAGGCAAGTAAAATCAAGAGACAATTAGTTCAAAAACATTAAGATGGAATTATGGAAAGAGAAATTAATGAACAAATTTAGAGGTGATGATTTTAAATATATTTTTTTTGCCATGAATTCTTTTAAATACAAATTTTTTTTGCCATAAATGTTTTGCCTTAGTCAATCTTATGCTCTTGTGGTACACAACAATGAGGCCTAGGTCAATGCAAATAGAACTTACTCTGGGGGGAAAGATGAACAGTGAGATGCTTTGGATAGTGATCAGCAGGGGAAAAACCTGAGGTGGAAAAAATTCTAATTTAGGGACACAAACTCAGTGGGAATTTACATGTTTTGACAAGGCAGCTTTCTTCACCACTTGACTGGGTAATTTAGTCCTATTTCAGTGTGGGGGTTTGAGAATACCATGTGGAATTCAAAACTTTGGTTGATCTATTATCTTTATTTAGAAAAAAAAGACTTTTATAGCCTTTTGCTATAAACTGCCTCACAAACCTATGAGCCGAAGAAACCAAGACAAAATAGAGTGAGTTCACCAAAAAATCCACATCATTAAAAGAACAGTGCAAAGCTCTATTTCCTGTACTGTGAGCATGTCCACTTTCTGTGGCTCCCGGTGGTGAGACAGATGAGAAGCTGGAACACAGATAAAAGGTTTTTGGGAACACTTTTGAAGGCCTGTGGCTATATAAGAGAAAGTGAGTTCATTTCCTTAATTCTAGTATAATCTGGAAAAGGATCCTAGACATTATGCATTTTTTTGATCACAGTATTTTTCCCAACCCATGGTTCATTTATACATGGAGTCTGCTATTGGCATGAAATAAAATACATCCTAATATGTATTATGAAAAAAACGCTTATTGTATTTATTTATTCTATTAAAGCAGTATATTTCTCAGAGGTTGAATGTTGGGGGTTTTTGTGGTCATTTAATAAAAATGTTAACATATTCTTGAGTTTGTTTGTTTAACTTAGAAGTATAAATAGAACTCAAAATAATTGAACATTGAAACTACTGTGTTGCATTGGAATAAACATGGATATATTATGTTGAGAAAATCACATGTATTTTTAAATTAAAATATGGGTGCTTGGAGAAATGTTTTGCTGATGTGGGTGGCTGCTCAAGATATGTCCCCCAAGCCCTAGAAATATATTTTGATTCACTTTCATTATTACAGATATGCCAGAGAAAAATTTTATCTTTAAACAGTTTTAAATTTTTGACTTTATAAAGGTATAATATTTCTGCATGTATGCTGCCTGAGATTTTGGAAGGCTATATATTTAAATATATCATTAAATAAATTATAGTACCTGTACTATCAAGCAAGCAAATCAAAATAAGGCAATGTTGAACAAGTTTAATAAGGAAATATTTTAAGTATTCCTGAAAGTATTACCAAAACATTAGTAAAGTTATTAAATATTAAAAGTTACTAAATATTACATCAATTATGCAAATAATTGGCAAGCCATTAAATAGAAATAGGCCCTGTGCTATAGGAGCAGTAGGAAAACATATTCAATAAGGTAAAAATATTTATATCAGAACAAAGTCTACTATCATATTTATTCTAGGAGAAGTGGATAATTCCCAACACTTTTAGAAATAATAGAAATTTTCTGACTCTCATCACAGTTATATATTGTTGGTTTGGATTAACTACCCAACATGATTTAAAAATAATATTAGTAAATTATTAAATAAAAATATTTATTTGTTATATCTTATAAAACAACATAAACAGCAACATTTAAATGAGCTGTTGCTATGATGAGGTTTATCTTATGATGAAAATGCATTCCTTTATTTGGTAAATATTTATTGATGGCAACTATGTACAAGTCACTGAAATAAAATTAGACATTTACCTTTACATCAAGGAATACAACTTTTGAAAAAAACTGAGAAATAAAAAAGGCAGAACTGAGCATCCAGACTAAGGCAGAATTTGTCATAAAAAGTGTCAGAAAAGATAATGCTAAACATAGAAAAATCTTTCACGACTTGCAGAATGATGTGATTTGGCTCTGTGTCCCCATCCAAATCTCATCTCGATTGTAATCCCCATATGTTGAGGGAGGGAGGTGACTGGATCGTGGGGGTGGTTTCTCCTATTCTGGTCTCGTGACAGTGAGTTACTTTTCATGAGATCTGATGGTTTTACAAGCCTCTGGCATTTCCCCTGCTTGCACTTCTCTCTCCTGCCACCATGTGAAGAAGGTCAGTGCTTCCTCTTCACCTTCCACCATGATTGTAAGTTTCTTGAGGCCTCCCCAGCCATGTGGAACTGTGAGTCAATTAAACCTCTTTTCTTTACAAATTACCCAGTCTTGGGTATTTCCTTATAGCAGTATGAAAATGGACTAATACACAGAGAGAGGGCCCTGCTTGAGTTTAGCTGAGCGCTGATTTGCATGTGTGTGAGGAAGCTATCCAAGAATGAGGAAAGAACCACTTAATGGATTAAGGTAAATAGTGCCCAATGCTTATGCAAAGGCTGGGAATTTTGTGGGTTCTCAAGCTATTTATGTGCCAGAATGAAAACCTAAGAATTCCTGAGGCATTGAGTTTAGCAATCAAAAGTGTCTTGCTTCAAGAATTTCAATAATTAGCTCTAAACTAAACACTGTTCTGGTTTTACCTAACAAATCTTCAAAACAAGTGACTAAAGTATCAAACTGTATCCAAGTAACTTAGTAACACTCCAGAATAAACTCAAGGGTATTTATAGGATTACAGATATACCCAGTAAAAGAAAATTTTCCAATGAAAATTTACTAAGCATGAAAAAAAGCAGGAAAATATGATGTAAGGAGAAAAATCAATAAATCAAACCTGACTCAGAACTGACACATATGTTAGAATGATTCAAGTTATGGCATTAAAACAATTATACTGTTTACCATATGTTCAAAAATTTAGAGACGAGGAAGATACTTTAAAAAATCAAACTTCTAGAGATGAAAACCACAACGTTTAAATATACATAATACCTAAAAGCACTGAATGTAATTCATAGTACACTAAACATTGAGAAGTCCCATGATCTGCAGTTGGCATGCTGGAGTTCCTGGGCCTTGGGAGGAGGCTCTGTGCAGGCCTCCCAGGGCCAGTCCCCTGGGGTCTGCTCTATACAGGTCACCCGAGGCGTTAGGGTGACCTCGGAGCCTGCCACTCCCGACAGCCAGACCCAGGGCCTGCGTTCTGCTCTATCCAGGGCCTCCCTGAAAGCCCCTGCCCGACTAGGCACAGCTGCAGCCGCCAAAGTCGGTGCAGTATACCCGGGGCTCCTGTGTGCTGGGAGCAGGCAGGAGCTCTGCCCACCCTGGGCGCGGCTGCAGCCACCCACGTCAGGGTTGTAGACTTGGGCCTCCATGTGCTCTTGAGGGCTGGGAGCAGGCAGGAGCCCCACACCCCCAGGCACAGCTGCAGCTGTCCAAATGGAGACAGTAGATGTGGGCCTCCGTGTGCTCTTGAGAGCCAGGGAAGGCCCCCTTTGCCATTGCAGGCTCAGAGGTGCCTGCTCCTACTGCCTGGTCTCTTCCCACTCTCTGCAACTGATCCAATCTAGGAGTAGGTGGAGCTGAGCCCAGGCACTGTCACAACCCTGCCAGGTATATGCATGATCGAGCCCTGCCACCTCAGCCCCCTCTGGATGTTGGGCCAGACAAGAGTGGATGCGGGCAAAGCGTTGGCCTGCAGGTGCCCCTTGGCACCATGAAAGGCGTCAGGAGGCAGACGGGCTCCTAGGTGGAAGGGAGTGGGTCCCTGTAAGGCCCCATCCTCAGGCCAGGAAGAGCCTGAAGGCTGGGGGTCAGGCTGCCACACCGGTGGACTGGAGTGGGGTCTTGTGGTGCCTTTTTCTGCCCACCCATGGCCACGGATGGACCACTCCATATGCACTTCCTCCCCTCTGAGGTCCATAAAAGCCCCAGGATCAGCAATAGCATGGTAGAGGACAACTGAGAGATGACGAGATGACCAGCTGCAGAGAGTAGCTATCCTCTCTGCTGAGAGCTGGGAAGTCAATGGGGACCTGCCTGCAGAGAGGAGCCACCTCTCCAAACACACCCAGAATGATGTTCGACCAAATATAGGCCTGTCTCATTTTATTGTGCTTCACTTTATTGCACCTGAAGGTTTGTGGCAACCTTGCAATGAGCAAATCTATCAGTATCATTTTTCCAACGGCATGTGCTCCCTTCATATCTCTATGTGACGTTTTGGTAATTCTCACAATATTTCAAACTTTTTCGTTATTATTGTATCGTTATTGTCAGGCCTCTGAGCCCAAGCTAAGCCATCGCATCCCCTGTGACCTGCATGTATATGCCCAGATGGCCTGAAGTAACTGAAGAATCACAAAATAAGTGAAAATGGCCTGTTCCTGCCTTAACTGATGACATTCCACCACAAAAGAAGTGAAAATGGCCGGTCCTTGCCTTAACTGATGACATTACCTTGTGAAATTCCTTTTCCTGGCTCATCCTGGCTCAAAAAACCTCCCCCACTGAGCACCTTGTGACCCCCACTCCTGCCCGCTAGAGAACAACCCCCCTTTGACTAATTTTCCTTTACCTACCCAAATCTTATAATATGGCCCCACCCCTATCTCCCTTAGCTGACTCTCTTTTCGGACTCAGCCCGCCTGCACCCAGGTGATTAAAAAGCTTTATTGCTCACACAAAGCCTGTTTGGTGATCTCTTCACACGGACGCGGGTGAAAGTTATGGTGACGTGTGATCAGTGATCTTTGATGTTACTATTGTAATTGTTTTAGGGAACCACAAACTGCCCATGTAAGTCAGTGAACTTAATTGATAAATGATGTATGTTTTGATTGCTCCACCCACTGGCTGTTCCACCATCTCTCCCTCTCTTCAGGCCTCTCTATTTTCTAAGACACAACAATATTGAAATGAGACCAATTAATAATCCTACAATGGCCTTTAAGTATTCAAGTGAAAGGAAGAGTCACATGTCTCTTATTTAAATCAAAAGCTAGAAATGATTAAGCTTAGTGAAGAAGGCCTATCAAAAGCCAAGACAGGCCAGAAGCTAGGGCTTTTGCACCAGTTAGCCAAGTTGTGAATGTAAAGAAAAGTTATTGAAAAAAATTAAAATGCGCTACTCCAGTAAACACATAAATAAGATAGCAAAACAGTCTTATTGCTGATATGGAGAAAATTTTTTGTGGTCTGGATAGAAAATTTTAAAAAGCTAGGGAAAAAAAGAAAAATAAATCCATGTCAGTAGAAGCCAGAAAATAATAAAGAAAATATTTAATAATTGAAAGTAATAAAATAGAAAATAATAGATAAATTAATTTTTGTATTTTTTGTAGAGACAGGGTCTCACCATGTTGCCCAGGCTGGTCTTGAACTCATGTGCTCTAGTGATCTGCCTGCCTTGGCCTCCCAAAGTGTTGGGATTGCAGGCATGAGCCACCTCGCCCTGCCTGAGTTAAACTTCTAGTGGAAAACCCCTTTTATATAAGCCACAAGCAGTTTCAGACTGTCCAATGTTATTATTACTAACATAAATTAATGTAGGCTTTCTTTTATCCTAGAGGAGTTGTGGAAAAACATCCTCATGGCATGAATTATGAGTCAGAATATTAAAGGCATAGACACAGGAGTTGGAAATTGAAAGTGTAGATGAAAAAAAAAGAAAAAGAATTTTACAATATCAAAATTAGATTTTTTCACTGAATTCAAAAAGGTCTCCACAAAACTTTTGTAAGGGATTCAAACCCTTCCTTTAAAAAATAAATAAATAAATATTTCTTAATATCAGTCTGTAGTTACTGTATCATCAGGAACAGGTTTTGAAAATTATTGTTTATGCTGAGAAAACAACTATCTGAATATAACTAATAACCATTATTACTAGATTGATTCTAGGAACATAGATAAATTTAAATTTATTTTTAAAAGACAAACATTTTTAATATTTGAAAATATAGGTCACCCTGAGCTTTCTAGTAATTGGAATGAATGACAATTGCTTTTGTTTGCTAACACATCCATTTGTCTACAATTTTCTTAATGTATTTAATTCTGAAATGATTCATTCAGTTTCGGTCTGATGAAGAGAGTAAAGTGAAAATATTACTCATCAATTGAAATATTACTATAGGGTCTTTTTGTAACTGATTTCTTTGTCATTGGATGCTCTTAGCATGTATTGATTAGATTTAATCAATCTTAAAAAAAAAGAAAAACACACATCTCTCAAATTTTAATGTGCCTTTATCTTGGAAAGTATTTTATTAAAGTTTATCCTATTTGAACTATCCCACAGTTTTCTCTAAATTATCCATTATTGTTGTATGTTGAAATTTTTGGATTATTTGTCTACTAACCACCATGTATAATATTGAATCCACCTACCATCTGTATCCAAAGCTTTTACAAAAACATTGATCAGATCACAATCAAAGTCAATGTTAAAATAGAAAATTCTTTCCTCAAAATGAAAAAAACCTGAGTATTTTTTAATCATTCATTAATTGTCTCTTATTGTTCATAAACAGCCTTATGAAAACGTGTGATCCTTACTGAGACACCATATTGTGGTACTTAATGTGGTACTATATTTGTCACTGGAGATCAAAATAAAGTTTATTGGTCTGCAACATTTACAATTCAGTTTCTTATATTTATATATATAATTCATATATATAATACACATAATATAAATCATATACATTATATATATATATATACACACACACACACGGGAACTTAGAGCTATTTTTAAACATTTGCCAAGTAGAATATACAATATATTAAATTTTTGATATTAAAAGTTTTAAAAAATTTTCTTTCAATGCTAAGAAGGTAGATTTTATGTTAAGTGTCCTTATCATGATTTCAAAAATGCCTTTTCCAAGGCATTCAATTAGGAAAAGAGGAAGTCAAATTGTCCCTCTTTGCAGATGATATGATTGTATATCTAGAAAACCCCATCGTCTCAGCCCAAAATCTCCTTAAGCTGATAGGCAACTTCAGCAAAGTCTGAGGATAAAAAATCAATGTGCAAAAATCACAAGCATTCTTATACACCGATAACAGACAGAGAGCCAAATCATGAGTGAACTCCCATTCACAATTGCTTCAAAGAGAATAAAAACCTAGGAATCCAACTTACAAGGGATGTGAAGGACCTCTTCAAGGAGAACTACAAACCACTGCTCAATGAAATAAAAGAGGATACAAACAAATGGAAGAACATTCCATGCTCATGGGTAGGAAGAATCAATATCGTGAAAATGGCCATACTGCCCAAGGTAATTTATAGATTCAATGCCATCCCCATCAAGCTACCAATGACTTTCTTCACAGAGTTGGAAAAAACTACTTTAAAGTTCATATGGAACCAAAAAAGAGCCTGCATTGCCAAGTCAATCCTAAGCCAAAAGAACAAAGCTGGAGGCATCACACTACCTGACTTCAAACTATACTACAAGGCTACAGTAACCAAAATAGCATGGTACTGGTACCAAAACAGATATAGACCAATGGAACAGAACAGAGGCCTCAGAAATAATGCCACATATCTACCAGTATCTGATCTTTGACAAACCTGACAAAAACAAGCAATGGGGAAAGGATTCTCTATTTAATAAATGGTGCTGGGAAAACTGGCTAGCCATATGTAGAAAGCTGAAACTGGATCCCCTCCTTACACCTTATACAAAAATTAATTCAAGATGGATTAAAGACTTCAATGTTAGACCTAAAACCAGAAAAACCCTAGAACAAAACCTAGGCAATACCATTCAGGACATAGGCATGGGCAAGGACTTCATGTCTAAAACACCAAAAGCAATGGCAACAAAAGCCAAAATTGATAAATGGAATCTAATTAAACTAAAGAGCTTCTGCACAGCAAAAGAAACCACCATCAGAGTGAACAGGCAACCTACAGAATGGGAGAAAATTTTTGCAACCTACTCATCTGACAAAGGGCTAATATCCAGAATCTACAATGAACTCAAACAAATTTACAAGAAAAAAACAACCCCATCAAAAAGTGGGCAAAGGATATGAACAGACACTTCTCAAAAGAAGACATTTATGGAGCCAAAAAACACATGAAAAAATGCTCATCATCACTGGCCATCAGAGAAATGCAAATCAAAACCACAATGAGATACCATCTCACACCAGTTAGAATGGCAATCATTAAAAAGTCAGGAAATAACAGGTGCTGGAGAGGATACGGAGAAACAGGAACACTTTTACACTGTTGGTGGGACTGTAAACTAGTTCAACCATTGTGGAAGTCAGTGTGGCAACTCCTCAGGGATCTAGAACTAGAAATACCATTTGACCCAGCCATCCCATTACTGGGTATATACCCAAAGGATTATAAATCATGCTGCTAGAAAGACACATGCACACATATGTTTATTGTGGCGCTATTCACAATAGCAAAGACTTGGAACCAACCCAAATGTCCAACAATGATAGACTGGATTAAGAAAATGTGGCACATATACACCATGGAATACTATGCAGCCATAAAAAAATGATGAGTTCATGTCCTTTGTAGGGATATGGATGAAGCTGGAAACCATCATTCTCAGCAAACTATCACAAAGGACAAAAACCCAAACATCGCATGTTCTCACTCATAGGTGGGAATTGAACAATGAGATCACATGGACACAGGAAGGGGAACATCACACTCTGGGGCCTGTTGTGGGGTGGGGGGAGTGGGGAGGGATAGCATTAGGAGATATACCTAATGCTAAATGACTAGTTAATGGGTGCAGCACACCAACATGGCACATGTATACATATGTAACAAACCTGCACGTTGTGCACATGTATCCTAAAATTTAAAGTATAATTTTAAAAAATGCCTTTTCCATAATCACACATATTTAAGAATGGAATTCATTCACTTTTGAGTAAAAATTATTCATCTGGGGGATTGTTAAAATGAGGGCTGGATTATCAGTTTCAGAGTAATTTTAGAAAAGACAACATGTTTGAAGAAAGTTTAGCTCTCTAAGTCATGGTTTTATTCTGAGATTCTTTGATTCTACTATTATGTCTGGGTTTATGTAAATAATTACTAAGTATTCCTTTTTTTTTTTACATAAGGCCAGTGCAATCATGCATGATTTTATTGGTGACCAGTTAAAATGAAACTGTTAATTAATGAAAAAAATCCTTTTTACTAGAAAAACCTGTGAACCTGTGTTACAGAAAACGAGTTATGTATAATATTCATTTTTTTAACCTGAAATGCATCGACTACAAGAGTTAGCTAAACCAAGATAATAATTAACTACTTCCCACTGAGGCAATTCCCTGAGGGAGAGGTCCATGAAATCCCCTGCTTTGAACTCATAGTTTTTATCTGAAACACCAACTTTCCTGCACAGGATTTTTGTCCCCAGTGCCTGGACAGCACTGGCTTCATTTCAAATACCCCTTAGTTAATAGGAAATTTAAATGTCCCTGGGCAGTTACATCCTGTTTGGTCCTATATAAAAGCGTTTCAGTCCTTTCCTTACATGGAAATTTCACTGACTGAAACACCAGCTTGATTCTAGAACAAAGATGCTCAGTCTCAGGATCAATTGAGATTTGTTTCTACCGAGAGATCCACTCTGGTGAGTAAAACTTCTTCAAATTTTATGGAATTTATCCAACATTTATGTAGCACCTGCTTAGTGCCAGCGACTATGCGAGTCTTCAAAGTTATAACTCTAAATAAGATACATAATTTCTCACTCCTTAACTAAGAACAGTTTAAATAAGCTGCGATATCTATGCAAATAAGGTAGTATAAATTATAAAAAAGTATATAAAGCATAAAAAAGTTAGTATAAATTATAAGGAATCTTAAATGAATGCAATCTGGGCTCCAAAGAGTGACAATTCTTCTTGGGTCGACAGTTAAACTCAGGTGAATTATAAATGGAAAGAGACAATGTAGCTGTGTTAAAAGATAGTTAAGTATTTGCCAAACAAATGAGGGGAGATTTTTTTTCTTTTTTTTTCTTTTTTTTTTCTTTTTTTTTTTTTTTTTTGAGACGAGTCTCGCTCTGTCACCCAGGCTGGAGTGCAGTGGCGCGACCTTGGCTCACTGTAACCTCCGCCTCCTGGGTTCAAACAATTCTCCTGCCTCAGCCTCCCTAGTAGCTGGGATTACAGGTGCCCACCACCGTGCCCGGCTAATTTTTGTATTTTTAGTAGAGATGGGGTTTCGCCATTTTGGCCAGGCTGGTTTTGAACTCCTGACCTCAGGTGATCTGCCCACCTCAGCCTCCCAAAGTGCTGGGATTACAGGTGTGAGCAACCGTGCTCAGCCATGAGGGGCAATTCTAATGGGAGGACTTCCAGACAGGAGGGATAGTGTGATTTAAGAAAAGAAACACAGCATGGTGATACAACCTGATTGATTTATTAAGAGTAATTAAGTCAGTCGCCATTATTAGACATGGAGATTGGCATGGGGTTAGAGAAGTCACAATGATAGATAATACTGGAATGGCAGTCAGGAAGCATTGTAAAGATATTGTTTGCCATCCTAAGCTTTTTGGGCATCATTGCATAATCAAGTCAATAAAGAGCTAAAAGCTAAATTAATGTTACAAGATGTGATCTGCATCACCATTTGTCCTGGCAACAGCATTGAAGTTGGATTAGAAATACATAAAACTGAAGAATAAAATATTGCCAGAGATAATGAAGGTTTGAACTAATCTGTACGTGTGACAGCAAGATGTAATAACTACAACAGATAGTAAGCAAATAAAATTTTGGTGTTTGATTGGATATACAGATTAAAGCAAAGTTGTGCCATTCTTTGAAATAGGTCACAGTGACAGGGAGATGTCTGGGAGAAGAGATGAGTCCTTATGGGAAAGACCCATTCAGGGACAGTGATGTGCCAACCGTGAAGCAGGATATGAGGACCTGCAACCCAGGGGACCTGCAACCCAGAAGACCTATGGTAGTGCTCGAAACAGCAGACTATTATTTTCTATTGTGTAGGAAAATAGTTAATCTGTCTTCTTTAAAAGGCACAGGAATATTTTTGAGTAAACAAAAGTACAGAAAGAAAGTGTCAGGACAAATTTTTGGAAACCATCAAATTTCAATAAATGTTAAAAGAAGACCCAGATAACGAGACTAAGAAAAAATATTCAGAGAGGAAATAGAAAACCAGAACTAAGTGGCATAGAGCCAATGGAAGTCAGCTGTTTTAGAAGAAAGAACTGTATAATAGTGTCATATATTTGAGAAACAAAATTTAAAATAAAAACAAAATAGAAAGAGTGCATTGAATTTACCGTTGTGATAGTTATTTGTGGATTTGCTGGAGCTGTTTGTGAGGACTCATGAAGCAAGAATGATTAACATGGTTCAAGAATTGAACCAAATGTGCCAGGGCACAGAATGATACCCTATTCTGCTCATAAAGCATGGCTGTAAAGAGAAGGGACATTATAAGTAAGTCCTAAGTGTGGAGTGAAGACTTTTCTTTTTCTTTAAAATGGATGAGTCTTAAGATTATCTCTATCTATCTATCTATCTATCTATCTATCTATCTATCTATCTATCATCTATCTATCTCTAATCTATCATCTATCAACAGAGCATAGTGAAACAATCTGGTTCATTAAGAGTAATCTCAGTAAATCAACATTATTAGAATTTTTAGACATGGAGTTTGTGTTGATTTTATACACACACATATACAGACACACACACACACATAAAATGTGCACTATTATGAAAGAGAGAGAGAGAGCAAGTGCATACTGTGGCAAAGATGCCCTTTGCGATAGAGCAAGGTTGAGTATAGGGTTGGTCACTGACTTGGAAAGGAAAAAAGAGCTCTTTCTCTGCCTTTGAAACCCTAGAGTGGGTGGAATTAAATCATGTTAGAGATCATTTCGTTTATATACAGGTAGGAAACTGAGGGGCTTAACATATAATTACCTATGTTTTCTCATTGAAGTTATTGGCAATGCTACCTCCCAGGAAATAGAGGAAAATAGTGAAGAAGAGACACAGGATGCTAACTCTTTAGAGCAGCTACTGGAATGAATTAGAGTTTACCTACATAACATATTTGCACATGTACCACTGAACCTAAAAGAGAACTACTTTCAAAAAAATTGAGGGTTTCAACATATGAGAGGTAAAAAACGGAAAAGTTTAGAAATGTTTTGTAGGATAAAATTTGCATACAAGTGGTTAGTGAAGACAGAAAAAAATGCTTGGGGGAAACAAATGACATTGAAAGAATCATTATACTCTCCACCAAAAAATGTTTAGTTTTATTATAAATAAAGTATTTAATGCAGGTATGACTTGGAAGGATTGAACACAGGTTTTATATGTTCTCGCAGTATCATCCTTAATCCTAAGAGTATCTCCACACGTATATGATTCCCTTCCTTCTTATTTGATAAGTGATGAATTAATCAATACAATTTGGAACTAGTGAAATTAAAATGATGAAATTTTCCATTTATTAATCAGATATAAAAATTATTATCTATGTCTTCAAAGAAAATAAAAATGAAAATAGGTTGGTGGGAGTTGTTGAGAGGAGAATATGGTGTGTGCATTCAAGTTTTTTCTTACGATTTTTCTCCTCCTTCCCTCTATGGAGAAACCTTAATGGGGAGGCTAAATGATAGAGGTTTTTCTTAGATTACATTAACAATGTGTATTAGAAGTGGTAAGTAACACGATGCTTTTGATTTTCAAGCCAGAGACAGTAAGTTTTAAAATATAAGTGAATTGCTTTCATCTATTCACATTTTATTTTAAATTCCAAAACTACCATCCAATATTTGGAGCAAGTTAAGCCAGGCATTAAGATTGGCAGCACTGGGGATTAAGCTATATCTTATGGAGGACCAGGAAAACTGTAGGAGCAAGAAAGCTAGAGAAACTTTGAAGAAAGTAACCCCTGTTTTCCTCTGATTCCTACTGCCATGAAGCAGGGGATGTGACCATCAGTGAGGGATTAAGGGCCCTTCCAGCCCTGAGACTGTTCCTTGTGGAAAAAAAAAATTTCCTAAAAATTAGTTTCAGTCAGTTCTCAAAATAAATTACAGCAAAATCAAAAAGATCTTGGTTTAAGTGATTTTTAACCTTTTCCTACAGCTTAGGGATTAATAAATGAAACAAACTACAATATCAGATGCAGTTACTTCAAAATCAGATGCATTAACTCATGTAACTTAGCCATTAAGTTTTTGTCTATATAGAACTGAAATCAATTATGTAGATATCCCGTTAAATAAGTATTTACTTAGAACCTATATGTTAGATGCCTTTGGTCAAGGGTGAAGAAATGGACAGAAATGATGAAGGAATAGTCTTTGTGCAGAAGAAACTCAGTGAAAATGATACTGATTGACCTTTCAACAAATGCACAGATTTAAAAAGAAAAAAAAGAGGCAAAAATTAGTTAGCAGAGTGATTCTGATACACAAAATAATTCTATGATGGTGTTGATTCTATAATAATAGCACATTTAAAATGAAATAGGAAAAGTTACATCATTTAATCCTCCTAACAATTGTTACATCTGGTATAGATTTTTTTTTTGTTTGGTTGGTTATTTTAAGAAATGGGCTCCCACTATCTAATATATTTCAAGTCCTAGAAAGAAATATATATATATATTTTTTCATTCAGGAACTCACAATGAGACACAGCACTAGAAAGATATATACTCTACTACCTAGCATTCTGCCTATCACATAGATTTTAGAAAATCTCTTTATTTCTTCAAATGGATTTGATTGAAAATGTCCAACCCCAAGTTGTCATAAGAATTTTGAGAATTAAACGTTCTTTGACGGTGAACCTTTGTCACTTAGTTGCAAGATCTCCAAAGCTCAGGATTCAATGCCTGATATCAGTGGCATCTGCATTTTACAATTTTGAGACATTTCATTTTTCAAAATTTCTATGAAAAGTTTATTACAATCAAATGTAATCTTTTTAAAGTGTTAAGAGCTTTTCAAAGGAAAAAATATGACTGTTCTTTGAGCTAACCTCTCTTCTAGATTAGCTTCTGAGCTGTTTCTAGATCTGCCTCTGAGCTGTTTCTAGATCCATTTGCAAGGTGGTATCAATAACTTCATGTTAGCTGGTTAGCAAAAGAAGCTATATAGTGCATCGTTGTAATACTAAGGCATCATATAGAAGATGTAATGAGATTGGTATGCTAGAATCATTTTCATTGACTTTATTGAAGGTAAAGACTTTATCATTTCCATCAATTTCTCCCTCTTTGACAATGCAAACTCTGCTCCAGAAAATGTTTATGACTTGTTGATCACATTCAGGGATTCTATTTCTGAATAATTGCTAAAACGTTTTTGAATTGAATATTAACTAATCGCAATGAAAATAAATTCATCTCATTTCAATACCTCCATGCTGAGGAATTGAGTTACTTGACACACAAATATATTAGATGTCATGCATTTTCTTCCTACTGTCTTTGGCTTCCTAAACAGAGTCACACTTGGTATCTTCAGAGAGACTATGGTCAATTTGACTTCAACGAGTGGATTCCTTCTTATGGGGTTTTCTGATGAGCGTAAGCTTCAGA
Source organism: Homo sapiens (assembly GCF_000001405.40). Taxonomy (NCBI): domain Eukaryota; kingdom Metazoa; phylum Chordata; class Mammalia; order Primates; family Hominidae; genus Homo; species Homo sapiens. The sequence continues at coordinate 616,190 of NT_167249.2, forward strand.
TTTTACATGCATTGGTATTTCTGGTGACATACCTGCTGGCCTTGACAGGCAACCTCCTCATTATCACCATCATTACCGTGGACCGTCGTCTCCATTCCCCCATGTATTACTTTTTAAAGCACCTCTCTCTTCTGGACCTCTGCTTCATCTCTGTCACAGTCCCCCAGTCCATTGCAAATTCACTTATGGGCAACGGTTACATTTCTCTTGTTCAGTGCATTCTTCAGGTTTTCTTCTTCATAGCTCTGGCCTCATCAGAAGTGGCCATTCTCACAGTGATGTCTTATGACAGGTACGCAGCAATCTGTCAACCACTTCATTATGAGACTATTATGGATCCCCGTGCCTGTAGGCATGCAGTGATAGCTGTGTGGATTGCTGGGGGCCTCTCTGGGCTCATGCATGCTGCCATTAACTTCTCCATACCTCTCTGTGGGAAGAGAGTCATTCACCAATTCTTCTGTGATGTTCCTCAGATGCTGAAACTAGCCTGTTCTTATGAATTCATTAATGAGATTGCACTGGCTGCATTCACAACGTCTGCAGCATTTATCTGTTTGATCTCCATTGTGCTCTCCTACATTCGCATCTTCTCTACAGTGCTGAGAATCCCATCAGCTGAGGGCCGGACCAAGGTCTTCTCCACCTGCCTACCACACCTATTTGTAGCCACCTTCTTTCTTTCAGCTGCAGGCTTTGAGTTTCTCAGACTGCCTTCTGATTCCTCATCGACTGTGGACCTTGTATTCTCCGTATTCTATACTGTGATACCTCCAACACTCAATCCAGTCATTTATAGCTTACGGAATGATTCCATGAAGGCAGCACTGAGGAAGATGCTGTCAAAGGAAGAGCTTCCTCAGAGAAAAATGTGCTTAAAAGCCATGTTTAAACTCTGAAGAACCATACAAATGAAAGGCATTGTTATTATGTTTCAGATTGGAAGAGAGGTGAATCTTATTTCTTCCCAGAACGCTCTTCCAAGCTGTCTATTGTATATATTCCTCTCAAATATAATTCTTTAAAATTTAAGATGTTGTGCTCTAATAATATTAGCTTTCCTTCCTCCCTCCAATTCAAGTGTTATTTTAAGTCATCTTTGGAAAATTTTTCTGAAATGAAGGAGAAAGACAATTAGTTTGGAGTCTGGCCTGTATAATTTAAAACTTGTTATTAACAAATAAGGTTGGAGATAGATGAAGCTAACTGGGTTAATATTATGGTGCATATATGGTATTTCCAGTGGGCCTCCTAGTTTTCTATCCATATTAAGTATTCATATTAAGTTCTTTTACTATTATTACAGTGGTGATTTCAACAATTTATTCAGCCCCTAGTAAGTATCAAGTGCTTTATATATATACATTTTTTTGACTCAAGAAAACAACTCTTCTAGCTATAACATATTGTCCCCATTTTGCCAATAGGAACAATAAATTTAGGAAGGATTAGTTAATTTTCCTGAGATTTCTCAAATAAATGGTAGTTAAGCTCTGATTCAAATTAATATTTGTCTGACTCAAACAATAAGGTCATTTATGTTCCTTACTGATGGCAAATGCATTATTACCCAAATGTGAGTGTGTATGTTTATGTGTGTGTGTGATGTGTATAATCTATAAATATAAGCATATACTACTATAATCCATTAATAAAATTGTCATCACCCTTGTGCATCCCTATTACTGGAGGTATTTATATTAATTCCTTTACTTTTCTGATCTGTACAAGAGTTTGACAAATTGGTTTTACAGAGTTAGGCAGGGGATGCTCCCTAGTTCCATGAAACAGAATATAGATAAACTGCAAATGAAGAGTTCCAACTTATGAATGTGTGAGATAAGGAGGCACAAATCTTGTGAATCTGAATATCTGATTCAATTTTGTGTAATGCTGCAGATTTCTTCAAGAAAGACTCATAATTTACAAGAGTACAAAACTGGACTAGTCCCCTCAGTTTTGAAGTAAATCAAAGTGCATGTTTTAATGACAAAGGGAATAAGCAATTGCTCAGTAATGGGGAATGTTTTTATAGGACTTTTTTGAATTAATGGTTATAATATCTACATATGCATATACCTTAGTAAGTTTTTTTTTCTTTAATCTGCCACATGAGATTTTTTCTTTTTTTTATATACTTTAAGCTCTGGGGTACATGTGCAGAACTTGCAGGTTTGTTACGTAGGTATATACATGCCATGGTGGTTTGCTGCACCCATCAACCTGTCAACTACGTTAGGTATTTCTCCTAATGCTATCCCTCCCTTACCCCCTCACCCCCAAACAGGCCCCAGTGTGTGATGTTCCCCTACCTGTGTCCATGTGTTCTCATTGTTCAGCTCCTACTTATGAGTGAGAACATGCAATGTTTAGTTTTATGTTCTTGTGTTAGTTTGCTGAGAATGATGGTTTCCAGCTTCATCCATGTCCCTGCAAAGGACATGAAATCATCTTTTTTATGGCTGCATAGTATTCCATAGTATTCCATGGGTGTATATGTGCCACCTTTTCTTTATCCAGTGTATTATTGATGGGCATTTGGGTTGGTTTCAAGTCTTTGCTATTGTGAACAGTGCCACAATAAACATACGTGTGCATGTGTCTTTATAGTAGAATGATTTATAATCCTTTGGGTATATACCCTGTAAAGGGATTCCTGGGTCAAATGGTATTTTTGGTTCTAGATCCTTGAGGAATCGCCACACTGTTTCCACAATGGTTGAACTAGTTTACAGTCCCACCAACAGTGTAAAAGTGTTCCTGTTTCTCCACGTCCTCTCTAGCATCTGTTGTTTCCTGCCTTTTTAATGATAGCCATTCTAACTGGCATGAGATGGTATCTCATTATGGTTTTGATTCACATTTCTCTGATAACCAGTGATGATGAGCTTTTTTTCATATGTTTGTTGGCCACATAAATGTCTTATTTTAAAAAGTGTCTGTCAGGCCGGGGCATTGGCTCATGCCTGTAATCCCAGCATTTTAGGGGGCCGCAGCAGGCAGATCACGAGGTCAGGAGATTGAGACCATCCTGGCTAACATGGTGAAACTCCATCTCAACTAAAAATACAAACACTTAGCTGGGCGTGGTGCCATGAACCTGTAATCCCGGCTACTCAGGAGGCTGAGGCAGGAGAATCGCTTGAACCTGGAGAATCCCAAAAGTGTCTGTTCACATCCTTCGCCCACATTTTGATGGGGTTGTTTGTTTTTTTCTTGTAAATTTGTTTAAATTCTTTGTAGATTCTGGATATTAGCCCTTTGTCAGATGGATAGATTACAAAAATTTTCTCCCATTCTGTAGGTTGCCTATTCACTCTGCTGATGATTTCTTTTCCTGTGCAGAAGCTCTTTAGTTTAATTTGATCCCATTTGTCAATTTTGGCTTTTGTTGTCATTGCTTTTGATGATTTAGTCATGAAGTCTCTGCCCATGCCTAAATCCTGAATGGTATTGCCTAGGTTTTCTTCTGGGGTTTTTATGGTTTTAGGTCTTACGTTTAAGCCTTTAATCCATCTTGAGTTAATTTTTGTATAAGGTATAAGGAAGGAGTCCAGTTTCAGTTTTCTGCATATGGCTAGCCAGTTTTCTCAACAGCATTTATTAAATAGGGGATTCTTTCCCCATTGCTTGTTTTTGTCAAGTTTGTCAAAGATCAGATGGTTGTAGATGTGTGGCATTATTTCTGAGGCCTCTGTTCTGTTCTGTTGGTCTATATATCTGTTTTGGCACCAGTAACATGCTGTTTTGGTTACTGTAGCTTTGTAGTATACTTTGAAGTCAGGTAGCATGATGCTTCCAGCTTTGTTCTTTTTGCTTAGGATTATCTTGGCTATGTGGGCTCTTGTTTGGTTCCATATGAAATTTAAAGTAGTTTTTTCCTATTCTGTGAAGAAAGTCAATGGTAACTTGATGGGGATAGCATTGAATCTATAAATTACTTTGGGCAGTATGGCCATTTTTCATGATATTGATTCTTCCTACCCATGAGGATGGAATGTTTTTCCATTTGTTTGTGCCCTCTCTCCTTGAGCAGTGGTTTGTAGTTCTCCTTGAAGAGGTCCTTCACATGGCTTGTAAGTTGTATTCCTGGGTATTTTATTCTCTTTGTAGCAGTTATGAATGGGAGTTCACTCATGATTTGGCTCTCTGTTTTTTTTATTATTGGTGTATAGGAATGCTTGTGGTTTTTGCACATTGATTTTGTATCCTGAGACTTTGCTGAAATTGCTTATAAGCTTAAGGAGATTTTGGGCTGAGACGATGGGGTTTTCTAAGTATAGAATCATGTCATCTGCAAACAGAGACAATTTGAATTCCTCTCTTTCTATTTGAATACCTTTTATTTTTTTCTCTTGCCTGATTGCCCTGGCCAGAACTTCCAACATTATGTTGAATAAGAGTGGTGAGAGAGGGCATCCTTGTCTTGTGACAGTTTTCTCAGGGAATGCTTCCAGGTTTTGCCCATTCAGTATGATATTGGCTGTGAGTTTGTCATAGATAGCTTTTATTATTTTGAGATACATTCCATCAATATCTAGTTTATTGAGAGTTTTTAGCATGAAGGGCTGCTGAATTTTGTCGAAGGCCTTTTCTGCATCTATTGAGATAATCATGTGGTTTTTGTCATTGGTTCTGTTTATGTGATAGATTCCATTTATTGATTTGCATATTTGAATCAGCTTTGCATCCGAGGAATGAAGCTGACTTGATCATGGTAGATGAGCTTTTTGATGTGCTGCTGGATTCGGTTTGCCAGTATTTTATTGAGGATTTTCACATCAATGTCCATCAGGGATATTGGCCTGAAATTTTCTTTTTTTGTTGTGTCTCTGCCAGGTTTTGGTATCAGGTTGATGCTGGCCTCATAAAATGAGTTATGGAGGATTCCCTCTTTTTCTATTGTTTGGAATATTTTCAGAAGGAATGGTACCAGCTCCTTTTTGTACTTGCGGTAGAATTCGTCTGTGAATCTGTCTGGTTCTGGGCTTTTCTTGGTTGGTAGGCTATTAACTACTACCTCCGTTTCAGAACTTGTTATTGGTCTATTCAGGCATTAGACTTCTTCCTGGTTTAGTCTTGGAAGGGTTTATGTGTCCAGGCATTTATCCATTTTTTCTAGATTTTCTAGTTTATTTGCATAGAGATGTTTATAGTATTCCCTGATGGTAGTTTCTATTTCTGTGGGATCAGCAGTGATATGCCATTTATCATTTTTATAGTGTCTATTGATTTTTCTCTCTTGTCTTCTTTATTAGTCTGGCTAGCAGTCTACTTTGTTAATTATTTCAAAAAAACCAGCTCCTGGATTCATTGATTTTTTGAATTTTTTTGTGTGTGTCTCTATCTCCTTCATTTCTGCTCTGATCTTAGTTATTTCTTGTCTTCTGCTAGCTTTTGAATTTGTTTTCTCTTGCTTCTCTAGTTGTTTTAATTGCGATATTAGAGTGTCGATTTTAGATCTTTCCTGCTTTCTCCTGTGGGCATTTAGTGCTATAAATTTCCCTTTAAACACTGCCTTAGCTGTACTCCTGCAGCTAGCTCAGTCTCTGCGCAAACAGCCGCCCAGTTTTGTGCTTGAAACCCAGGACCCCAGTAGCGTAGGCACCCAAGGGAATCTACTGTTCTGTGGTTTGCGAAATCCATGGGAAAAGCGTAGTATCTGGGCTGGAGTGCACTGTTCCTCATGGCTCAGTCCCTCATGGCTTCCCTTGGCTAGGGGAGGGAGTTGTCTGACCCCTTGCGCTTCCCGGGTGAGGCGATGCCCCACCCTGCTTCGGCTAGCCCTCCCTGGGCTGCACCCACTGTCTAACCAGTCCCTGTGAGATTAGTCGGGTATCTCAGTTAGAAATGCAGAAATCATCTGGCTTCTGCATTGATCTCAGTGGGAGCTGCAGACCGAAGCTGTTTCTATTCCACCATCTTTCCAGCCACCCACACTGATTTCTAAAGTAGTTGTTCCATATTATATTCCCTAGATAATCAAGAATTGTTATAAAGGGCTGGGCGTGGTAGCTCACGCCTGTAATCCCAGCACTTTGGGAGGCCGAGGTGGACGGATGACGAGGTCAGGAGATCAAGACCATCTTGGCTACCTTGTCAGGTGTTTTGAAAAACTTTTAGCTTTTTAAACACATTCATGGTGATATATATCGATGAGTTTATTTTGTATTGCCCTGTTCAACAAGGTTGAACATCTTTTCATGGACTTATTAGTTATTTGTGTGTCTTCATTTGTGAAGTTTTTGCTCAGACACTTGGCCCATTTTTAAAACAAGTTGTTAATCTTTCTATTATGAAGACATTTACATATGTGTGTATATATGTATATATACTGGATAAAAATCTTTTGTCAGATACACGTATTACAGATGTTTTTTCTAATCTCCTGTGATTGTCTTTTTTTTCCATCAGGTTCTTTTGGAGAGTAAAACTTTAAAAATTTTGATGTAGTTCAATCTATCAACTTTGTGTTTTATAATTCATGTTTGGTGTCCTATCTTCCAAAAATACCTTCTTTAAAATTACAAAGTTTTTTTTCTTTTGAGACAGGGTCTCACTCTGTCACCCAGGCTGGAGTGCAGTGGTGCAATCTTGGCTCACTGCAACCTCCGCCTCCTGGTTCAAGCAATTCTCGTGCCTCAGACTCTCAAGTAGCTGAGATTACAAGTGTGTGCTGCTATGCTGGCTCATTTTCTTTCTTTCTGTCTTTTTTGTTTGTTTGTTTGTATTTTTAATAGAGATGGGATTTCAGTATGTTGGCCAGGCTGGTTTTGAACTCCTCACCTCAAATGATCCACCTGCCTTGGCCTCCTAATATGCTGGGATTACAGGCATGAGCCACCGCGCCCGGCCTAAAATTATAAAGATATTTTTCTATGTGACCATTTAGAAAATGAATAGTTTTAGCTTCTATATTAATTAAGTCTGTGATCCTTATTGAGTTAATTTTTGAGTGTAGTATAAAGTGAGTGTTAATGATCATTCTTTTTCTATACAGATATATAGTTTTTAGTGTGATTTATTGAAAAGACATTATTTTCCCCCATTGATTTGCCTTAGCACCTTGTCAATATATGGGCTTACTATTCTTTTTCATTGATCTATGTGTTTATTTTTAACTAATACCATACCATACTGATTTCAGCAACTTTATAACGATTTTTTTTTGAGACGGAGTCTTGCTCTGTCGCCCAGGCTGGAGTGCAGTGGCACCATCTCGGCTCACTGCAAGCTCCGCCTCCTGGGTTCACGCCATTCTCCTGCCTCAGCCTCCTAAGTAGCTGGGACTATAGGCGCCCACCACCATGCCTGGCTAATTTTTTTGTATTTTTAGTAGAGACGGGGTTTCACCGTGGTAGCCAGGATGGTCTCGATCTCCTGACCTCGTGATCCGCCCACCTCGGCCTCCCAAAGTGCTGGGATTACAGGCATGAGCCACCACGCCGTGCCCTTTATAACAATTCTTGAAGTCAGGTAGTTTAATGCCTCTAATCTTTTGATTTTCTAGGCTTTGATTTTCCAAGTCTTCTGCATTTCCATATACACTTTAGAATTAGCTTGTTAATTCGTACTAAAAAGAAGCATGCTGGCATTTTTATTAGGATTGCATCAAATCTATAGATCATTTCTGAGAAAATAGAAGTCTTAATATTGAGTCATTTAATTCATAAACACAACATAGCTTCCCATTTTTTAGGTCTTTAATTTCTTTCAGTAACGTTACATGGCTTTCAGTGAGGCAGTCTTGTTCCTTTATTAAATTTATTACTAATTATTCACATTTTAAGTTTTGAATACAAAAATTACACTTCATGCTCCTTAAATTGTTTCAAATGTTGTAGAAATAACATTAAAATAAGAATTTCCTCTTTAATAGTGATTCCTAGAGGTTATCACTATTTTAATTTTGATATATATATAGACAAAATTGCATATATTATTTCTTTTTTCCTTTTATTATGTGGTTGGATCTCAAGTGCAGAAGGTTGAGTTCATTACATTTATCAGTTCATGGCACCCTGTCCTCATTAATATGTGCACGATCTCTCTCATCTTACTTTATTTAAAACATTTCTTTCCTGTCTGTTTCTACTACCATTCCCCCTAAGGAAAACAATTATTATAAGTTTCATGTGTAACATTTTATGGGCTCTTAATTTCTATTAGTATTGTTGTTTTAGGATATTTTATTCTATAAAATAGTATTACATTATAATCTTATTCAGTTTCTTACTTTTTTTCACTCAGCACACTACTTTTAAGAGCTATCACGTTACAATGTCTACATCTAGCCCACTTTTTCTAAAAACTGCATTTTTTTGATGTTGTACATCCTCAACCTTCGCAAATCTGCTCTCCCGTTGATGGACATCTGGGTTGCTTCTAATTCCCCATTACCATAAATTATGCCAAACAACTGTTGTTATGGACCTGTGTAAGGATTTATTTGGGATATATACCTGGAAGCAAAATTGCTCAGGTCCAATATATGAGAGACTTAATTTGAATTTTTATACCCAGAATGTGCTCCAGAATGCTTCCATGAGGCTACACTCCTACCAGCGGGGCAGACGTGTTCCTGTCATTTCCTCACCTGTCCCAATTCTTGGCACTACCCTGCTTTCTAATACTTACTACTCAAATAGAATACAATGTTACCTCACTTTTAAACTTTGGAGAAATTTTAAACCTGTAAAAAATTTGTAAAAACAATACAGAGGCTTCTCTTTTTATCCCTCACCTTGTTTCCCTAATGTTACTATCTTAACAAAATCATAACACTTCTCTCTTTATAAAATAGCCTAAATAGCTTGAGGTGTTTTTTTATTTTTGTTTTTTCGCTTTTAACTTTTTGGAACACTTTTTGCTCATATCTCTCGATCTGCTTTCTTATGCCTGTGCTAGCATATAATAAAACTATAATAATAATAATGACATGTAATAAGTACTACTTATGCCAAGGATTATTCTAGGCTTCAAAGGTATTATTGTGTTCAACATTTACAATAAATCTTGTGAGGCAAATAATATTGATATTCCTATTTTAAAGATAAGGAAATTAAGGCACAGGTCACTAATCAACTTATCTACAGTCACTAGCAAACTACTAGCTAACCTGGGACTCAAACTCAGGCAGTTTGGCCCCCAAGTTTTCATTCTTTACCACTATGGTATTTTAAGGAAAAATTCGATATTATTTTATGAATATAGTTTTGCTTCTCTTTTTTTCAGTTGCAAAAGACCTAACGCATCTGATATATCAAAATATATCAGTCAACCATTATGCAGAAAAGGGTTAACTTTTCATGTCTGTGTTGCAGAACCCTGTATATTCCCAAGAAAGGCCTATATTCAGGACTGGCCCTTGGCAGGCTCCTGGAAGAGGAGCTCTAAGTTCTTTGAATATCCTGCCTAATAAAATGTTTTTTTTAAAATAATTTGTTTTATTGGGTCACAATATAAATTTGATCAGATAGATTATGCTAACAAGGTGATTTATGGTGCCTATTTTTGCTCTGGTGGGCTGGGGTCTGAGTAGCTGAGGTCAGTTACACAGGTGCCGTATGCCTACCTGACTGATCCCCCATAAAAACCTTCTACATCAAACTTGAGTGAACTTCCTGGTTGGCATTATTCTGCATGTGTTATCGTACCATTGATGGCACAATTAAGCACATCAATGTAACTCACTGGAAGAAAACACCTGGAAGCTTATTCCTGGTTTCTCCTAGACTCCCGGCACCTCATGCACTTTTTCCCTTTGTTCATTTTTAATATGATAACTTTTCAATACTAACAGGGACACAAATATGCACATAACACATTATGCCATGTCTTATATCTTTCTTGAGTTGACGTTCTATGAGATATATTATCACATCAACACATGAGTTAAAATTGTCCTATTATCCATACCTTTCAATGCTGTCCATGTTGTTAAATTATAGCAGCTTTCTATTTTGATTTATAAATGGACAGGAATATATCAGTAAGACACTACCAGAGTAGTGCAGTGAATATGCATGCATTCTTACATGTTTACAGAGAGAGATAGGAAAATAAAAGGAAAGGAATGGGATGGAAAGAAAAGGAAAGAAATAAATAAATGAAAGAAAAGAAAATGAAAGAATAAGAAAGGAAAGGGAAGGAATGCCAGCCTTTCCCTAAAGACACATGACACAACTTGAGACCAAAAGTCATAGCATTATAAACAGAATCCCTACGTTTATAACTCTTTCTGTTTGATTTTTACCCTCAGAAGGAAGATTACAAAAAACAATGCAACTGAAATTCATACTTCATAATAATGGTTAAAGCAATAACCATTAATAGTTCATAAGATTTGAGTCCAATAACTTTTAAAGGCATAATTCTTTATGAGCGTATTTTATTTCCCTTTATGCGCAGCTCTAGGCTCCTTTTCCTACTTCCCTGTTTCTAAAAGGTATCCACTATACATTTCTGAAAAATTATGTTTTTGCCTTTGACATCTAAAGCTTCCTGATATAATGTGAAATCATTCTTCAAAGTAGGTTTAGCAATTTACACCCTTACCAACCTTGTATATGAGCTCTCAGAGCTTTACATACTTATCCAACGAGTTACTACTCTAAGGATACTGACAGATACAGCACACTCTACTTTTAATTTCCTTTTTCTATCTTATTAGACATTTTTGTTTGTGTGTTTACTAGGCATTTGGATTTGTTTGCAGACTTTTGCTCATTTTCATTTTGGCCATTTTCTTTTTCTTATTTTTAAGGGAATTATGTGTCTCTTTAGAATACTAAACTGTGCCACTTAATAGAAGTGGCAGATATCCCTTTCCCTTCTGTAGCCTGATTTTTCATTCATTCTGTGGTTTCCTTTGATGTGAAGATGCTCTAATTTTAGATTGCAGAATTATTAAAATAAGTCTTTCTCTCTATGCTAAAGTCTTTTTTAGTTCTTTTGTTAAGGAATGTTTTCCACTCCCAAGGACATAAAGATAATCACTTTATAGGTACTTTAAAAAGTTTTAAAGTTTTGACTTTAATATTTCAATCTTTAATCCACCTGAAACTCATTTTTAGATACACTCATAGTGAGAAATATTTCAATCTATTTATCTTTCTTTTCTTAATGTGGAAAACCAATTGCCCCAGTGCCATTTACTGACTTGCAATGTGTGTGTGTGTGTATGTATATATATATATATATATATATATATACACACACACAGATCTCTTTGGTGTCCTCTCTTTTTGTCCACTCATCTACCTGTCTGTTCCTGTGCTAACACTGTACTGTCTTATTTCCTATACATTGTAAATCTTGCTATTAGAACAAATCTCTGAATTTTATTCCTGTTTTTTTTACTTTTTTTTGTTATCTTGCACTCTTCCCTCTTTGCATAAATGTGAGAATTGGTGCAATAAATTTTTTTATAAATTAAAAGTATCTTTTAATTAAAATTTCATTGACTCTATATGTTAGCAAAAAAATAAAGTTACTAAAGATAACTCCTCAACCATTATCAAGGTAAATATCCATGTTTATTTAGATCTTCTCTAATGTATTTCAGTAAAGTTTTATAATATTCTGTGTAAAGCTTTTCTATGTTCTATTAGATTTACATCTGGACATTATTACTTTGGTAGTTATCAAAATTATGTTTTCCAAACTACATTTTACTCTTTGTTGCTGGTATATAGAAATATACCAATTTGATACCTGGGCCAAGGGATTTGCTAAATTATCTCATTTTTCTAATGTTTTATCTGCAGATTCTTAGGGATTTTTTTTTTTTTTCTTGAGACGGAGTCTCGCTCTGTGGCCCAGGCTGGAGTGCAGTGGCGCGATCTCAGCTCACTGCAAGCTCCACGTCCCGGGTTCACGCCATTCTCCTGCCTCAGCCTCCGGAGTAGCTGGGACCACAGGCGCCTGCCACCACGCCCGGCTAATTTTTTTGTATTTTTAGTAGAGACGAGGTTTCACTGTGTTAGCCAGGATGGTCTCGATCTCCTGACCTCGTAATCCACCCGCCTCGGCCTCCCAAAGTGCTGGGATTACAGGCATGAGCCACCGCGCCCGGCCAGGGATTTTTTTAAGTAGGGAAATATAGCTCCTATAATTAAGGAAAGTTTTTAAACTTCCATTCTAGTTCCTATGAATTTTCTTTATCTTAATGCACCAGCTAAAACAATCAAAACAGTGTGGAATTAAAGTGATAACAAGTGGCAGTCATGTCTTGTTCTCACTGAGTACATGTTTTGACCTAGGTTTTAGATGGACAACTGTTTCATTTATCTATTTTTGTATAAGGAGACATCCCAAAACAGTGACTTCAAACAATAACTATTTAACTTATTTACTTTAGCAGAGCTTGGTAAAGACAGCTTGCCACTGTTCCAATAAAGTTAGTATTAGGTTTTACCTAGAAGTCTAGCTAGAGCTGTTGGCTGGTCCTCCATATGGTTCTCCATATGACCTTTCTACATGGCTAGGTTGGGCTCCTCACAAAATGATGGCTAGGTTCCAAGGATAATCTGAAGAACCGGTGTTTGAAGAATATAAGCCACAGGTACAACCATTTATCAAGCCTCTGCTTAGATCTGTCACATTGGTCAAACTTATCACATGGCCAACTGTGGAGTAAGTCATTGTGAAACAAACGTGAGTACTGGGGGCATGGTTCCTTGAGCCCACTAAAGTACTGATCTACCCCAGGAGCCTTTATTAAATTGACAAAGTCCCTTCTTATTTCAGGTCTGCTAAACTTTTCATCATAAATATATGCTGACTTGTATGCAATGTTTCTTTTTCCTATGTCTATTAAGACCATCATACAGTTTTAATTCTTTTATTCATCATTTATTCATGTGAATTTATTGGAACTCCAACTGAAAATCCAGTAGTGATGAATTAGACAAAGTTTTCATATTCATGAAGTGCAATCTATAGTGGTAGAGAAACCACTAACAAATAAACATGTAAGCATGAACCGGGTTAGATGGCAACACACATTACAGAGCTAAAGAAAGCAAGGCAAGTGACATAGTGCAGGAAACAAACTATTTCATATTGTAAAGTTTTCACTAATAGCACCACATGTAAAAATAAAGCTTAAATACAGTTAGCTAATTGAGTATCTGAGGAAAAACATTCCAAGCAGAGAAACCAATGCAAAGTCCAGAGATAGGAGCATTCTTAGAATGTATAATTAATAGCAAGGAAGCCAGTATATTTTTTTAAATTGTTCTTCATCATTACTAAATTATATTCACTATTTTTTCAAACCTATTGGCATAACGTTTCATAATTTATTCTTTTATCTTATCTTATTTTTGTGGTTACCTGAAGTTACATTTCCTTTCAATCCCTAATATTATTAATTTGTGCATTATCAGCTATTATTCTTAAAAGATTTTGCCAGAAATTTGACATTTAATATCTTTCCCTCTATTGTTCTTAATTTCAATAACTCTTGCTCTTATCGTAACACTGTATCATTTCTTCCACTTATTTTGAAATTTTTCCATTTGTATTTGTAATTTTTCACATTAGAGACTTAGCTAGTTAACATTTATTTTTTTCTTTTTTAATGTAAGTATTTATGGCTAAAATTATCATTAAAATCAGTTTAGCATATTTGTCATAAATTTGGTGATGTTTAAATGTGATGTGATTCTTGATACTTGATTCTATGCCATAGTTCTAGTTAGTTATCATAGCTTTGTAAGTTTTGATATCCAGTGGTGTGACTTCTCCAACTTGGTTTTTCTTCATGTCATTGTGGCTTTTGGTTGCATGCATTTAGATATTAATAGAATCATTTTGTGAATTTCCATAAAGCCAAAAACCTGCTTGCATTTTACTGAGAATCACAATGAATTTAAACATAAATTTGGGAAGAATTGACTTCTTAGCAATATTGAAACTTCCACTTTATAAAAATGTAATATTCCTTGATTTATTTGTCTATTTAAAATTTTTTTAGTAATCGTTTGTAGTTTTCAATGTAGAGATTTTGCCAATATTTAATTAAATTTGTTCCTAAATATTGGGAGGCTTTTGATGCTACTAAAATTTTATGGCCTTTGTATTTTATTTAGTTTACTATTTAATTCTAATAGTTTAGGTATATTTCCTTTCCAGATCTTTATGTACCCAACCACATCATCTATTTTCAAATTTTATACCTTCTTTGTCATTTTCCTGGCTCTATTGGGCTACTGAGAAGAAATATTGACAGTAGTCATTCTTATCTTATTTCTTAACCTATAGTGGAAATTTAAAGTATTTCATCAAGTATGATATATACTGTAGCTTTTATGTAGAGTCTTTTCTTCAGATCAAACATTCCCTTTTCATCTGAGTATGCTCAGTAATTCAGCGATTTTATCTTTAGTAAATGTTAAATTTTTTCAAATGTTTTGCTGTATCTATTGGAATGATTAAAGTTATTTTTCGTCTGTGTGTATGTCTGTGTGTGTGTGTGTATAATGTCTTCGTTTAATTTTGTTATCAAGTTGATACTGGCCTCATAAGACAAATTGGAAGTGTTTCTTCTTCCCTATTTCCTGGACAATTTTGTGTAATAAAATTTTATCTATTTATTTATTTATTTTTAAACATTTTATTTTGACATAATTTCAAGGTTACATAGAGATTATCAGAATAGAACAAATAATACTCATATATCCTTTACCCAGATTCACAAATTATTAACATTTTTGCCCTAGTTGCTTTATCATTTACTCTTTTAATAAACATTTTTTTAACCTTTTGAACAATGTGTATTTCCTAAGAACAGACATTCTCTTGCATAACTAGTAAAATGACCAATAATAAAAAAATACCATTCATACAATAATATTATGTCATCCAGAGTCAATATTCAAATTTAATCCATTATCCAAATGATATCCTATATTGATTTTATTTCCTAGTCTAAAATTCAACTCAGGAATAAAAATTTCACTTAGTGGTCATGTCCTTTGAGGGTCTTTTAATCTGGATTAGCTCCTCAGTCTTTTCTCTTATAACGTTGGCAGCTTGGAGTTCCTGTTATTTTGTAGAATGTCACTCAGTTTGGGTCTGTCTGATATTTCCTCTGATTAGATCTAGGTCATAAATGTCATATAGGAAAATAGACATGAGATTGTCTTCTCAGCACATTACATCGGAAGGCACATGTTGATCTGTCCCATTACTGGTGATATTAGCTATAATCAGTTGGCTAAGATGGTTCTGCCAGGTTTCTCCATTATAAATTTACTATTTTCCCCTTAGTAATTTATAAGTAATTTGTGGAGAAGTACTTTGACAATACATAAATATTCTTTATTCCCCAAACTTTGACCTACTCATTTAAGTATTCACTGATAATTTTTGCTTAAATTTTTGCTTATAATTTTTATTATAATTGTAGCAAAATGGTGATTTTCTAAGTCTACCATCTCTTTCACATTTATTAGTTGATGTGCTACTTAAAGATATTAAATCCCCTTCTATTAAACAATTTTTTTAATTTATTTTTTATTTCAATAGGTTTTTGGGGAACAGATGGTGTTTGGTTACATGAATAAGGTCTTTAGTGGTGATTTTTGAGATTTTGGTAAACTCATCACCCAAGCAGTGTACACTGTACCCAATATGTAGTCTTTTATCCCTCACCCTGCTCCCACCCTTTCCCCTGAGTCCTCAAAATCCATTCTGTCATTCTTAGGCCTTTGCATCCTCATAGCTTAGCTCCCACTTATGAATGAGAACATGTGATGTTTGGTTTTCCATTCCTGAGTTACTGCACTTAGAATAATGGTCTCCAATTCCATCTCAGTTGCTGTGAATGCCATTATTTTGTTCCTTTTAATGGCTGAATAGTACTCCATGGTGTATACGTATACATCTCCCATATGTTCTTTATCCACTCATTGATTGATGGGCATTTGGACTGGTTACATATTTTTGCAGTTGCAAATTGTGCTGCTATAAACATGTGTGTGCAAGGAATCTTTTTCATATAATGACTTCTTTTCCTCTGGATAGATACCTAGTAGTGGGATTGCTGGATCAACTGGTAGTTCTACCTTTAGTTCTTTAAGGAATCTCCACATTGTTTTCCATAATGGTTATACTAGTTTACATTCCCACCAACAGTGTAAAAGTGTTCCCTTTTCACCACATCCACGCCAACATCTATTATTTTTTGAATTTTTGATTATGGCCATTCTTGCAAGAGTAACGTGGTATCACACTGTGGTTTTGATTTACATTTCCCTGATCATTAGTGATGTTGAGCATTTTTCCATATGCTTGTCGGCCATTTGTATATCTTCTTTTGAGAGTTGTCTATTCCTGTCCTTAGCCCAATTTTTGATAGGATTCTTTGTTTTCTTCTTGCTGATTTGTTTGGGTTCTTCGTAGATTCTGGATATTAGTCCTTTGTCAGATGTATAGATTGTGAATATTTTCTCCCACTCTGTAAGTTGTCTGTTAACTCTGCTGATTATTTCATTTGCTGTGCAGAAGCTTTTTAGTCCTATCTATTTATCCTTGTTTTTGTTGCATTTGCTTTTGGGTTCTTGGTCATGAAATCGTTGCCTAAGCCAATATCTAGAAGGGTTTTTCTGATGTCATGAGTTTTTATGGTTTCAGGTCTTAGATTTAAGTATTTGACTCATTTTCAGTTGATTTTTGTATAAGGTGAGAGATGATGATCCAGTTTCATTCTCCTATATGTGGCTTGCCAATTATCCCAGCACCATTTGTTGAACAGGGTGTCCTTTCCCCACTTCCTGTTTTTCTTTGCTTTGTCAAAGATCAGTTGGCTGTTAAGTATTTGGTTTTATTTTTGGGTTATTTATTCTGTTCCATTAGTCTATGTGCCTATTTTTAGACCAGTACTGTGCTGTTTTGGTGACTATGGCCTTACAGTATAGTTTGAAGTTGGATAATGTGATGCCTCCAGATTTGTTCTGTTTGCTGAGTCTTGCTTTGAATATGCAGGCTCTTTTTAGGTTCCATATCAATTTTAAAATTGTTTTTCTAATTCTGTGAAGAATGGTGGGGGTATTTTGATGGGAATTGCATTGAATCTGTAGATTGCTTTTGGCAGTATGGTCATTTTCAAAATATTGATTCTACCCATCCATGAGCATAGGATGTGTTCCCATTTGTTTGTCTTGTCTATGATTTCTTTGTAATAAAATTTTAAATAAAACATTAATGGACATAATATGTAGCACCATTAAGTGTCCATTTTTGAGTCACTCTGCTAAGCACTTTACAGAATTATTTATTCAATATGCTCATTTTACAGATGCAGAAAGATTAAGCGACTAAAGTCACCTCACAAAGGATAAATGGTAGCACTAGAATTAAACCCAAGCAATCTGACTGTAGTTGTTATGTACTTATATATGATACAGTATGCCTTCTATTATTAAGTATAAAAAATAACAAATGATAAATTCCTCATGTTGGCTAGACTGAGGGAGAACAATACTGGAAGCAATATAATATTTTACAATAATTTTAGAGAGGAATTTATCAATATTTAAATGCATACAGTTTTAGAAATAAACTTAAACTGAATAATCTTATATTCTTTAATTTTAAGGAAAAAACCAACTGCAGAAAATGCCATATTTATAAATACGCTTATGCTATCACTTAGTTGTTATGTTATTCATAATTAAGAAAAAATATTAATAGAGCTATTTAACCTGGTTTGTTGAATGTGATAATGATTACAGAAAACATTGACTAATGCTGCTTATAATAATGAAAAACTGGAAAAGTGACTGGTATACAATAGGCAATCAATAAATATTTGTTAAATAAATAAAGAAAATTTTTCTGCAAATTGTGAATTGTTATCTGAGCAGAATGCTATGTAGCCTTTAAAAAAATAATGTATATCCACATAGCTTCAGAGGAATTTTTGTAACAATTATATTATTATTAAAAATACTAAAATGTGTATACAAGATGGTGAGACAACTCCAAAATATAAAACAACATTATGGACTTACCTTTATTTCTAAGTACTTACAAAGTTGTTGCAAAAATTTTAATATACATATTAATGGATTTAGCTATCATATGAGATTTGCAGATATTGTTGCTAGATTTGTTTTTGAATATTTCAGTAGATATTTCTGATTGTTAGAGATCATAATTTATGACCAAAATAGCTGTTCTAAATCTAATTTTGACACAAAGGCTCAAATTTGTAGCATAAAAAAATGTTAAGTACTGACTTCTAGTTTTCCAGGAGGTCTGGCATTAGAGATCCATTAATTTTTAAAGGGTTAAATGTTCCTGTTTCTTTTTTGGAAATATGTGATTTAGAGTGCATTGATTCTCCAAGTTTGGCTCTTGGACTAGCAGCAGCAGTACCTGGGTGCTTGTTAGGCATTCAAATTCATGAGTGCCATTCCAGACCTACTGAATCAGAATTCATGAGTTTGAGGCTTAGACTTAGGTCCTTATGTTTTAACAAGATCTTCAGGCAACTCAAATGTCTGCTAAAATTTGAGAACCAATGCTAAGGATGACAAAACCCCATAACTTACTAAACTATTTCCCTTCTATATGAAAATTTTAAGGGCTCCAAATTCCAGGTGTTAGAAGAGTACGAAATTGAAATATTTTTATCATATAGTCCAGACTTCCAGTATGAAAGACGTAAAATAAAAAAAGTCCTGAATCTTCTAAGGAAACAATATGTTTAAAAGTATCTGAGAGTAGATTTGAGAGTTTTAAAAAAAACTGTTTTTAAAGACGTAAAGTAGAGCTATGAGCTCACCAAAGTCCACTGAAGTTCGCCAAAGAGCTGAGTTACTTCAGCTCTCATGAGACCAGTAATTTTTGCTTGACGAAGGTATTTGGCAAGAAAATAATTCCACAATAACACATTTAAAGATACCTAGAACATTGAAAAAAATTCTCAAATTAAGATAGTATAGCTTAATTCCCAAGAACTTATTTCATCTCTTTTGTTACTAATCTAGAAGGTCAGGAGTGTGGTAAAGGCAGTGTCTGATAAGGTTATGAGCTTCCAAAGAGTTTCTACATTTTTAGTGCAGACACTCTCCCTTTGGGGGCAAAGTATGGTTTCTCCCATCCCTATTAAAAAGAAAACAGTTAAACTAAGTTATCAGAATGAGATATTTTGACTCTAACAATTTACACTCAAGGCTTTATGCTGAGTTGTCTTGTTCTAATCAAGCATGAAGGTGTCAAGCACAAAGCACGTGGCAAACGAAAGACACTCCCGCCTCATTCTGAAAACAAATACTGATAACCAACCCCACCCTCTTACCATTTCAGGCCAACCCATCTTATGATACTGGGACCAACTTGAAATAATTTAGAGGTATATTTAGGTTTCCCTCTCCCTTACTTCAGTAAAAGATCATTTTAGAATAACTTTATTCCTTTCCTAAGGGAAAGACAAAAAAGTTTCCATCCCGTCAGAACATACGGGGAGAGAAAACACACAGGCCCAGAGGTGGGAAGGTGTGTGACAGTCCATAACCCATTACACAACGATGCAACCAAAGGCTAAACCATGAGTTGAATATAGTTTTAATATTAAAAATAGGAACTAGTTATCATCCAAATGAACCACTGGAAAAAATATTACCATTACTTTAAAAAATACATTCCAATATTGGAAATAATCTGAAAACACTTTCCAGTAGTAACAATCCTCCTTAATATGAGGGACAAAAAAAAAGACCAGGCTTTGACCAAGTCCTTAGAGCATATTTCCATTTCATGATTTATATTCAAGAACCAAGCAACAAGCTGGACAGCTGCCTCTGTAACACTGTGTCCAATAGTGGTGTCCCAGATAGTTTAAGTGCCACTCGTCATTAGATGTTATACTTCAGCAATACTTCCAATTTTAAGTCTGTACTTTAAGAGGGACCCACAGGAACTCAGCACCAGGCAGAGCAGTGTAAGACTGGAAAAGAAGACTGAACTTTTGATTGGTCACTCACATGTTTTTTAGCGAGATACAGAATTACATTTACACTCTTTCCTTGCATTTCTTCTATATTAATGATCCCTCTTGCAGGAGGTGTAGGAGAAAGAATGCTGCGTCAGTACAAGAACAAGACTTTTTGGTCAAAAGTTGATACCGTTTAAATTCCCTCTCCCAGCGCTTCATGCAAAAAAAAAAAAAGGTTACTTCCTGAATTAAGGTTTGTATTTAGTAACCAACATTGACTGGACAGAACATACGTGACTTGGATTCCAAATAAATGAGATTGCTCTTTTTTGGGTTTGTACTGTGCAGCTCTTGCCACAGTTGTTGAAGAGTTAGGGCTGTGTCTGATCAGGAGGCATCTGTAGGATTTTGATCTCCAAGGAATTGTGGGTGAGTCACATACACCTGGTGTATTACAGGTGGGCACCTGTAATCCCAGCTACTTGGGAGACTGAGACAGGGAGAATCTCTTGAACCCGGGAGGCGGAGGTTGCACTGAGCCAAGATCATGCCATTGCATTCCAGCCTGGGTGACACAGTGAGACTCTGTCTTGGGAAAAAAAATAGAAGTGGGCAGAGTCAAAAAAGCAACTTCAAATAATTAATCCCTTTGTCCATATGAGTTAAATACAAACGTGTATATTTTAGGTTTTTAAAAATCAATGCAATATGGGAATCAATTTTTTAAAAATTATTTTTTGATTTTTTTTCTCCTCCCAGATGCCTTCTGATTGACCTAGTACACTGGGTTAAAAGGGAATTCAAAAACATTAAAAAAAAGTTCACTGGTTTTGATTCATCTCAGTCTTTTGGCCTGGAGATTAGGCCAAACATCAAGCATGTTGGGAGGGCAACAATTTAAAGCAACATTATTGACTGTAAAGCATTTGCCAGGAATTTACAGTACAAAATGACAGATAACAATTATTGTCATAACACAAGAGAATGGCAAGCAGCTTTGTGTGGTATGAAAGTTAAACAGTTCTCAGGGGTTGTCCATTCCTGCAAAAGTTTATGTATCAAGGTGGGCAGAAGGCAATACATTTACACACTACAGATGATCCATAGAAAATTAAGCTCCAGAACTGCTAACATCACCAAAGCTGGTACTGGCTAATACTATGAAATGCGAATCTGTGCTTTATGCATGTACTGCTCAACAATACTACCACTCAACAGAATCCCCACACTGCAAGGTAGATGCATGGTAGATTAATCTTTTCCCTCTTTTGGAGAGCTTGAAAAATTCCTTAAACTTTTAGAAAGGGTGAAGAAGCAAAATAAAAGAGCTTCTCAAAAAAAAAAAATCTTGAATTATCAATTTTTGACGCTTCGTTGCTCTCTCTGGTAAGCCTCCTCCAGGGGTACTAGATGAGACAGTGTGGGAGCAAACAGGACATCCCAGATTTCTGTGTCCCTTTCCTAACCAAGGGTACCATAGAAACCTGCTCTCTACAGCAAGAGGCCAAAGTGCTTTCTAGAATTTAGTGCTGAGTAAACTGAGCCCCTTCATCTTTAGCTGCTCCCATAATCACTCTAATCCCCTTAATCCCATCAACCTTTATCATATATATGTATATATACATATACACTTATTTACAAGGTTGATAAAAGTATACACACTCAATTTTCAACGCAACACACTCTGCCACAAAAGAAATAGGGTCAAGGTTCTGACATGTCTACAAGTCAAGTGCCATATTGTTACTGGAGACGTATGTAAACCAGTCTTTAGTGTTTGCTATAGAGCACAAAGGCTTGTCATAAGGCTCCTCCAATGATAGACTGCTTTTCCTTTGGGAGCATTGATGTTTTATCTACTCAGACCAGAATAAATTTTTACTTGGAATTATTATTATTTTGAGACGGAGTCTTGCTCTGTTGCCCAGGCTGGAGTGCAATGGCACGATCTCAGTTCACCGCAATTTCCGCCTCCCAGGTTCAAGCAATTCTCTTGCCCCAGCCTCCCAAGTAGCTGGGATTACAGGCACCTGCCACCACGCCTGGCTAATTTTTTTGTATTCTTAGTAAAGACAGGGTTTCACTGTGTTGGTCAGGCTGGTCTCAAGATCCTGACCTCAGATAATCTATCTGCCTCGGCCTCCCAAAGTGCTGGGATTACAGGCGTGAGCCACCATGCCCTGTTGGGATTTTTTTAATACATGTGTTTACAGTGTGGATGAACTGCAGCTGCATATCAACTCCTCCAATATAAAGAAAAAGAAAATGGTATTTAACTGACTAATAAGTTTCATCTACCAGCTCTGGGCTTCAGTATTGGGTAGAAAGAAAACAGAGACTTCACCCTAAAACCAAAATTAAAAGACAAAAATTTTTTAAAGAATAAAGGAAAGAAAGAGTACTACTGTTGATTCTTTGGTCTGTGTCTAAAAGATGATATTCTGAATATCTCAGAGCATACAGCACTTCACACAAATGAGTAATAAGCTCCTCAGGCTTAAAAAAAAATGGATGACTAGGGAGAAGTTGAAATGTCCTCGAGAGTCAGATGTTGGAGAATTTTGAAATAATAGACAAGCTTTTGTGTTCATTAAGATTCTTCTCTTTTTAGGGTTTCTCCCCTTCTTTCTTTTCCTTTCCTGTCCCCTTTCCCCAGAAAACATTTTTTTAAAACCAGCAGTTAGTGCAACTAATGTTCACTTAGCATACAGTGCAAACAGATGGAACAAAAAAAAAGGAATATTCCTTCTTTTCAGCTTTTTTCTCTTCACCAGTTAAAAAAGGAAAAAAAAAATTCTGAACTCTTTTAAGTCTTCATAGTTCTGAAATAAAAGATGAAAAACTCACAAAGAGAAGAGCACTCCTCTCTAAAAAATGGTATGTCATAGATCCAAACAAGGCTTCCACAGTTTGTCAAAGAGTGCTTATTAAGGCTTCTCATTTTCTACAGCCTTGCTGTGGAATTCTGCCACATGCAGGCTCTTGTCAATGTTGCTTGGAATAGGTTTTATTTCTTTTCCCAGCTGCTCCTCAATACCTTTCAGGTTGAAGTGATCGCCATATGTGATCAAGTTGATGGCTAAGCCAAAATGGCCAAAGTGACCTGGTCTTCCAATATGACGGAGATAGGTCTCTTCTAGCTTTGAAAAGTCAAAGTTTATTACCACATTCACAGCTTGTATATCAATACCTCAAGTAAACAGATCAGTGCAAATGAGAATAAGCCATTTCAGAAATAATAAAATACACAATTTTGATGTTCCTGCCTCATTTTAGCATGAATGTAGAAACAAAAATAACCCAGTTGAGAAATTTTGGCTGGCCATTCAACTCGCTGAGAGCAGTTAAAGAAAATGATCATCTGGTTTAGCTGAAGCCTGGAGAAAAGTGTGGTGAGGCCGTGTACTTTTTGGTGCTCAGTTACATATGCGTAGTACTGGGTTATGTCCTTCAGAGTTAGTTTTTCCATCAGGTTAGTCTCAGGGTTTCTGCAAATGGGAATTCATGAACTTCTGTATACTAAGAGGGAAAGTAGCAGAATGTAGTAAAATCTGCCTGTCTTCAGGTAGCATGAGAATAATATCTTCCATTAACTGCCCAAAATCCTGGGACAGAAACTTATCTGCCTCATCCAATACTATCACCTGGACATGACTGACCTTTGCTACTCCTTTCTTAATAAGATTCAGGATTCTCCCAGGGGCAGCAATCACCATGTGCACTGTATCATCCAGCCTCAGTACGTCATCTCCTGAATTGGTTCCTCCTGTGGTCATCACCACTTTGACTCCTCCCATGTGTTTGCTGACCTGGATGCAAATTTGACTGATCTGTAGAGCAGGTCCTCCTGTGGGAACAATCACTATTGTTTGTATAGTGTCCTTCTTCAGGTCTAGCCTTTTAAGTAGGGGAATGTCATGGGCACTGCTCTTGCCTGTTCCATTTTTTGCTCTAGCTAAGATATCCCTACCAGATAAAGCAATGGGAATGCTCTCTTCTTGGAAAGGAGATGGCTTTTTCCATCCCATTTCAAAAATTCTCATCAGTAACTGCCGTTTCAAACAGTAATCTTCAAATTAATATCCTCTTGTAGAGGTCACATCCAACATTTTGATTCTTAGATCCTTTGGAAGGAGTTTTAAAGTCTTCTTCCAATTATCACCAGGCTTAATAGTGGTGGTCATACTCTGCGCTTGTGGTTGAGTGCTATTATTGTGTTGGTGTTTTTCAGCTGGTTCGTCTGTTGCTGTGTCTGTGTGGCCTCTCCTCTAGGGCCACCACTGGGTTTCAGGGGACCCCTCAGCTGACCATTTTGACTGGACAGACCCATTATAACAGCTTTCTCTGTTCTGGTTGTGCTCATGCTGTGTTAATTGCAAAGGTGTCTTTCAAACTTCAAAACGTTTGAAAGTCAATAGAGAAACTGTAATAATAGTTTATTAGGCTGTCCAAAGTGAAGAGATAAATATAGGTCTTGCTCAATAATTAAGTTCTTTTATTATAATGCAGGCAAGCACCCATAAGTCTCTGAATGGTAAGCAGCAGTAACTTGCTTTCTTGTACTGTATCAACTTTTAATTTTTAAAAGGCCCTCTTACCAGCTTCAATTATAGCTGAATTCACTTACTTCAATCACTGAGGCCACTCCTGTGCTGGACACTCTTGGTCCTTTATTGTTGACTGGAAACTCCCAAAATATTGCCACTCTTTCCTCTTTGGATACCTCAACCTGCACCTCCAGATATAATTTCTAAGATCAATTACTGAGACACACAAAGAAATCTGGTGAGATTTTACGTGGTTTAGAATAAAGTCCAAAGAGGCTGTTTGATATAGTGGTTTTTCCTACTTCTTTCTAGAACTCACAGATGAAAAAGAAAAATGCAGAAATATGAAACTCATTACCAAGTGACTCGTCAACACTCATATACTGATGTGTATTTTGTTTTGTTTGTTTAAAGACAGTCTTGCTATGTTGCCCAGGCTGGAGTGCCGTGGTGATTCACAGGTGTGATCATGGTTCACTACAGCCTCAGGCTCCTGGGCTCATCCTCCCACCTCAGCATACTGAGGAGCTAGGACTGCTGGCATGTGCCATCATACCCAGTTAAATTATATGTATTTTAATTAGGGTAGAACCCTTAGTTATTTCCAAAGCTATTTCTTATACTGTATTTAAAACTTAAACTTAATTCTAAAGAAAAGATAATGAATAAATGAATCCCTTTTTTTTTGTTGAGATGGAGTCTCACTCTGTCACCAGCCTAGAGTGCAGTGGTGCAATCTCAGCTCACTGCAGCCTCTGCCTCCCGGGTTCAAGTGATTCTCCTGCCTCAGCCTCCTGAGTAGCTGGGACTACAGGACCGCGCACCACCACACCCAGCTAATTTTTGAATTTTTAGTAGAGATGTGTTTCACCATGTTGGCCAGGATGGTCTCTATCTCCTGACCTTGTGATCTGTCTGCCTCAGCCTCCCAACATGCTGGGATTACAGGCGTGAGCCACCGCACCCGGCCATAACTTATTTTTAATATCTCTTGACTGCAGCTGCTACCACAATTTGCATCTTCAAAATGGTTATGGAGGTTCAAGATGGCTGACTGGAAGCAGCTAGAGTATGCTACTCTCAAAGAGAGGAAAGAAAGTGGCAAGTAAATAGTAGCTCTTCAGGTGAATTCTCTAAGAGAGCATGTCAAGATTCACCAAGGAAGTGAGGGGGCTCACGAAGACCTCAGCACATTTTATCAGGAGCTTCTCCTAGCCACACCCATCAGGGCTGGTGCCTGCACCTGTCATTGAGATATTCGTGGGAAAGCCACGTTTCCAGCTCTGCCCAGGTATATCCCACCACCCTCACAAATTAGGAAGCTCAGAACACTGGACACCCACCCCACTGTCCAGTCCTTCACCTGAAACAACAGAGAGCACCTCACAGTAAATAAAGGTCAGCTCCCCTCCCACCTACTTGTGTGGCAGCTGACTCTTACCTGCAAATGCCATATCCTGAGTCATAGGTCAAACCACACAGCCCAACACAAAACCTGCTGACAGAAGTGCATAGGACTATAGAAACAACCCCAAAGACCCTACCTAGTACAACACTCTCCAGATGAGAAGGAACCAGCACAAGAATTCTGCCACCATTAAAAATCTGAATGGATTGACATCATCAAAGGCTGACTCTAGGTTTCCAGCAATGGTTCTTAACCAAAATGGAGGCAGGAGGATGACAGAGGAGGAATTCAAAGTATGGATTACAGGGAAACTCAATGAGATCCAAAATAAGGTTAAAAATCAGTACAAAGAAACCTGTAAAGCAATCCAGGAAATAAAAGAAGATGCAAACATCTTAAAAAGAAATCATTCAGAGCAATGAAAACTATAAAACTCACTTAAGGAATTTCAAAATACAATTGAATGCTTTCCCAATAGACTAGACCAAACAGAAGAAAGAATTTCAGAGTTTGAAGATTGGTCTTTCAAACTTACCCAGTCAGACAAAAACAAAGAAAAAAGAAATTTAAAAATTCTTAAAATTCTTGGCACAAAGTCTCCAAGACACATGGGTTGTGTAAAATGGCAAAACCTGTGAATGACTGGCATTAATGAGAGAGAAAAAGAAAAAGTAAAAAACATGGAAAACATATTTGAGGGAATAATTTGAGAAATTTTCCTTTATCTTGCTAGGGAAGTAGACATACAGATATAATAAATCCAGAGAAGACCTGCCAGATCCTATATAAAATGAACATCACCAAGGTATATAGTGACCAGAATGCCCAAGGTCAATGCTAAAGAAAAAACTTTAAAGGCAGCTAGAAAAAAAGGTTAGATCCCATACAAAGGGAATCCCATCAGGCTAACAGCAAACAGAGGAAACATTATAAACTTATTGGGGGCCTTCTCAGCAGAAATCTTATGGGGGACTTACATTCAGCATTTTTTAAGGAAGAGACTCCAACCAAGAATTTCATACAACACCAAACCAAGCTTCATAAGTTAACAAGAACTAAAATATTTTTCAGATAAGCAATAGCTAAGGGAAGTCATTACCACTAAACCAGCCTTACAAGAGATCCATAATGGATTTCTAAACATGGAAAGAATAATAACTGCTACTACAAAAACACACTTAACTACATAGTCCACAGACCCTATATGGCAACCACACAATAGAAACTACAAAGCAACCAGCTAACAACTTTATGATATGATCAAAATCTCACATATTAATATTAACCTTGAATGTGAATGGTCTTAACACCCTACTTCAAAGGCACAGAGTGGCAAGTTGGATAAAAAACAAGACTCACCCATCTGCTGTCTTCAAGAGACCCATCTTACACGTGATGACACTGATAGACTCAAGGTAAAGGGTAGGAGAAAGATCTATCACCCAAACAGAAGACAAAAAAGAGCAGGGGTTACAATTATTATTTCAGATAAAATAGACTTTAAAACAACAGTAGTCAAAAAAGGATAAAGAAGGGCTCTATGCAATGATAAAGGGTTTGATCCAACCACATGGCTTAACTATCCTGAATATATATGCAACTAAAATTGGAGCACCTAGATTCATAAAACAAGTACTGCTAGACCTACAAAAATACTTAGCCACACCATGGGAGTGGGTGACTTCAACATCCCATTGACAGAGTTAGATCATCAAGGCAGAAAACTAACAAAGAAATCCTGGAGTTAAATTCGACACTTGACCAATTGGACATAACAGACATCTACAGAACACTCCACCCAGCAACCATAGGATATACATTCTTCTCATTTGCATATGGAACATATGCTAAGATTGACCACATGCTTGGACATCAGGCAAGTCTCAATAAAGTTAAAAAATTCAAAATCATACAAACTATACTTTGGGCCATAGTGGAATAAAAATACAAATCAATACCGGTAAGTTCTCTCAAAACCACAAAATTACATGGAAATTAAATAACTTTATTCTGAGTAACTTTTGGGTAAACAATAAAATTAAGGCAAAAATTTAGAAAATTATTTAAAATAAATAAAAACAGAGATACAATATTTTATTTTTTATTTTTACTTTTTTATATACATATTTTATTATACTTTAAGTTCTAGGGTACATGTGCACAACGTGCAAGTTTGCTACATATGTATACATGTGCCATGTTGGTGTGCTGCACCCATTAACTCGTCATTTACATTAGGTATATCTCCTAATGCTATCCCTGCCTCCTCCGCCCACCCCACGACAGGCCCCGGTGTGTGATGTTCCCCTTGCTGTGTCCAAGTGTTCTCATTGTTCAATTCCCACCTATGAGTGAGAACATGTGGTGTTTGGTTTTTTTGTCCTTGCAATAGTTTGCTGAGAATGATGGTTTCCAGCTTCATCCATGTCCCTACAAAGGACATGAACTCATCATTTTTTATGGCTGCATAGTATTCCTTTGTATATAAATGCCACATTTTCTTAATCCAGTCTATCACTGATGGACATTTGGGTTGGTTCCAAGTCTTTGCTATTGTGAGTAGTGCTGCTATAAACATACGTGTGCATGGAGACACAATATTTTAAAATCTCTGGAATACAGCTAAAGCAGTGTTAGGAAAGCTTACATCACTAAATACCTACATCAAAAAATTAGAAAGATCTCAAATTAACAATCTAACATCACACCTAGAGAACTAGAAAAACAAGAACTAGTCCCAAAGCTAGAAGACAATAAATAACCAAAATTCATTAGAGAACTGAATGAAATTGAGACTCAAAAATACATGCAAAGTAATAACCGAAAGCTGGTTCTTGTCAACCAGATCAATAGGACACCAGCTAAATTAACAACAAAGAAAGAGAAGATCTAAATAAGTGCAATCAGAAATGGCAAAAGTGAAATAACAACCAATCCCACGGATATATAAAAAATCCTCAGAGACTATTATGAACACCACTATGCACACAAACTAGAAACTCTAGAGGAAATGAATAAATTCCTGGAAGGTCACAACACCCCAAGATTGAGCCAGGAAGAAATCAAAACCCTGGAGAGATCAATATAGAGTTCTGAAATTGAAAAACAAACCTACCAAATAAAAAGGGCCCTGAAACAGGTGGATTCATAGCCAAATTCTACCAGATGTACAAAGAAAAGCTGGTACCAATCCTACTGAAATATTTTTTTAAAAATGGGGAAGAGGACTCCTCCCTAACTCATTCTACGAAGCCAGCATCACTCTGATACCAAAATCTAGTAAAGACACAACAACAAAAGAGAAAATTACAGACAAATATCCCTGATGAACATAGATGCAAAATTTCTCAATAAAATACTAGCAGATGGAATCCAGCAGAACATCAAAAAGCTAATTCACCACTATCATGCAGGCTTCACTACCAGTACGCAAGGTTGGTTCAACATATGCAAATCAATAAACATGACTTGCCGCATAAACAATTAAAAACAAAACCATTTAATCATCTCAATGAATGCAGAAAAAATGTTTTGATAAAATCCAACATCCCTTCATGAAAAAAATCCTCAACATACTAGGCATGGAAGAAACATACCTCAAGATAATAAGAGCCCACTATGACAAACCCACAGCCAACATTATACTGAATTGGCAAAAGCTGGAAGTGTTACACTTAAGAACTGGAACAGGCCAAGGATGCCAACTCTCACCATTCCTATTCAACATAGTGCTGGAAATCCTAGTCAGAACAATCAGGCAAGAGAAAGAAATAAAAAGCAACAAAATAGGAAAAGAGGAAGTCAAATTATCTCCTTGCTGACAATACGATTCTATACCTAGAAAACCTTAAAGACTTTGCCAAAAGGCTTGTAGAGCTGATAAAAACTTCAGTAAAGTTTCAGGATACAAAATCAATGTACAAATCAGTAGTATTTCTATATACCAATAACATTGAAGCTGAATGCCAAATCAATAATACAATCCGATTCACAATAGCCACAAAAAGAATAAAGTATGTTGGAATCCACGTAACCAAAGCAGTGAATGATTTCTTTGAGGAAAACTACAAAATACTGAAGAAAGAAATCATAGAGGTTACAAATAAATGGGGAAAAAAACCCATGCTCATGGATTGGAAGAATTTATATTGTTAAAATGACCATACTCTCCAAAGCAATCTACACGTTCAATGCTATTCCTATCAAACTACCAATATTGTTTTTCACAGAATTAGAAAAAATATTCTAAACTTCATTTGAAATCAAGAAAGAGCCCAAATAGCAAAAGCAATACTAAGCAAAAAGAAAAATACTGGAGGCATCATACTACCCAACTTCAAACTATATTACAAGGCTACATTAACCAAAACAACATGATAGTGGTACAAAAACAGACACATAGGCCAAATGGGAGTCTCTTAGCAACTACTTTACTAATATTAATTTGCTTATATTTTGAAAAAGAGTATGGACCATGTCACTAAGCTGTTATGAGTTACATAACTGGCATGTGAAGTTGGTTGGTGGAGAGGAGAGACTGTGCTTCTATGGAATACAACCTCAGACTGCACTCTGATCCTAATCTCTGTCATGGCCCTATCAATCACGAGCCATCTCCGAGACTCATTCTGGCCAGACATTTAAAATACATTTTTCAATGGAAGTATTCAAACTACAGTAAAATAGGAGAATCAGGTGGAATAGTGGAACCAACTGCTTATAAATTTACTGTACACATAAAAATCATCTCTTCAAATCACCATGCCACCTCTTACTAAATGTGACTAAAGGTTTCCAGAAGCTAGGGAAAGTTCTTTAGCCTTTCTGTGGCTTTGTTTCACCATATTTAAAAAGCCCCACACATGAAGAATTATGCAGCCCAAAATGTCAATTGTTCTTCTGTTGAGAAACCCTGAACTAGGTGCACTGTGACTTAAGAAAACTACTCCAACGCAAAGACAGATAAATGTGTTCATATAATTTTTAACTTCCAAGTTTAGGGATATTACAGCCAACATGGAAGTAAGGATAAGTTGTTGGTTAAAGAGAAGTTGTTGATCATTCATTCTATATTAGATGTAAAGAAATGAAAAATAAGGAGTGGGAAAGGCTACCCATTCACTCTGCCTATTGAAATCAGGCTTCCACCTGTATCTCTGTACCAGAACTTTTCTGGTCAGGGGCAATAATAACTTCCTTGCATTTAGCAACAGTTTCATGAGTGGACCTAATTTTTAACAATACTTTAAATATTTGAACTTGATTATAGTCTGAAGTAAGATAGAAGAGTGGTTGGAAATACAGAGAATGGCATTAGATGAACTTATCTAATGCTTTATGTTTCTTCTGTGGAACAGAAGGTGAGACTGTCTGCCAAGCATGAAGGGAGTGTGGGTAAATTAATGAAGGAAAGATGAATGTTTAAAACAGTTCCTGAAGGAAATAGGAGATGGCAGTAACCATAACAAATAAAGTAAGAGAAAAGTAAGATTGCTATTAATTTTAAACAACATCAGAGTGTGTGAGTGTGGAGTTTTCTCCAGATTTTCTGAACCGTATGTATAGAAAATACTGGATGCTGTTTTGGAGTATTCCCTGGAGATGTGGCTAGAGGATAAATGTGTTATGAAGTTGGAAGTCCCAGAAATAAATTGCAAATTTTTTTCCTCTGGCTTACTGTTCTAGCCCTTTACAGACATAGAGGTCTGGCTCTATAGGGACATAAGTACAGTTACAAGGAACTGAAAGACTTACGGAAAGTGGGCAGTTAAGAAACTGAAAGTATCTTTGAAGCCAAAGAAATGAAAAAGATGTAGAGAAAAAAGACACATATCATATGATTTTACTTGTATTATTACATTAGGGAAAAGAAAAAAACTATAAAGATGGAAACAAATTTATGGTTACCAGAAGCTGGAGTCAGTGATGTGTTGTTTATAAAAAGGAATGGGAGGATTTGGGAGGTGACAGAATTGTTTTATATCTTGCCTGTGTCTATAGTTGCATGATTATATGTGTTTGCAAAAAGTCAAGTAATTATATGCTAAAAAAGAGAATGTTAACTGTCTATAAATTATACATTTATAAAATAAATTGGAATGAGAGAAGTAATGGGAGAATGGCAAAGAGCATACTCCAATACCAAACAAAAGACTATGAAGGTGGGATATAGTCTTAGAGTAGACATGTAGGTAATCTTCATGATGTGATCATAACATCTGCACTACTTTTGTAACTTTCATATTAACTGTTGCACTTACTACATTGTATTCTAATTATCTGGTGTATGTGTTTCTCTCTTTATAAGGTGAATGATTTGAAGGTGGGGAATTGAGACTTGACCTGATACACAATTGAATTTTTGATATCTGGATTATGCCACAATGTCTTGTGTTAGGTTGATGATCAACAATAATTTTAAAAAGAATAAAAAAGGAGTGGAGGTCAAGGAGGTCTGAGGTTAGTGTGGGGAGGCAAGATAATCTACCTAATATTGATTGTGGCAGCATGATGGTCAGTGGGAAGGTTGCATCATCAACATAGATGCCTGGGTGATGGCCATATTTGATACTGGAGAGAAGAAACTGGTATGGGCACCCAATATGCAGTTAGGAACATGCCTGGAAAATAAGCATATGAGCAAAATAAGAAGATGTAGAGAATTTTTGTGGTAAGAAAATGACCTCAAAGTGCAAGATATTTTATATGAAAGAGAAGAAGTAACAGTCAGAAAAAAAATAAGAAACTTAGAGAATACAGACCTTGATCCTACCCACCTCCTCAAACTGTGAGAGAAGGAGCAGCTTTGAATTGAAGAATAAGAGAAATAGCTTTTGGGAGAAGAACCAAATGTCAATGACAACACAGAAATATCAGGAGTAGGTAGTGGTATTGGAGAGCTTTTTCATAGTAGTGCTAGGGTTCTAAGGAATTTTATTAGTGAGCAAAGAATTCAAAAAGAAACATTCCAAAATGTAAGAATGACAGCATGGGCCGGGCGCAGTGGCTCACGCCTGTAATCCCAGCACTTTGGGAGGCCGAGGCGGGCGGATCACGAGGTCAGGAGATCGAGACCATCCCGGCTAAAACGGTGAAACCCCGTCTCTACTAAAAATACAAAAAATTAGCCGGGCGTAATGGCGGGCGCCTGTAGTCCCAGCTACCTGGGAGGCTGAGGCAGGAGAATGGTGTGAACCCGGGAGGCGGAGCTTGTAGTGAGCCGAGATGGTGCCACTGCACTCCAGCCTGGGCGACAGAGCGAGACTCCGTCTCAAAAAAAAAAAAAAAAAAAGAATGACAGCATGGGATAGGAAAAGGTGGGATGACCTAAGTTAAAGAAAAGAAATTAACAATATGTTGCTTGAATTTATTTTTCTAGCGATAGAACTTTTGCAAATGAAAACACTTCTTCACCATGCACTTATGTACCTTTTGGTCCTAGAGAAGAAATAATTTATTTTCAAAGATGTGCTAACCTTGTGGGTTAATTGTTATTTAAATAACAACTATTTACTCATGAGAGAGAGTGACTTGCATGACATAAAAAATTTCATAATTATTTTTGTAAGTAAGAGAAACATACAGTTTCACTTTGCTTTACAAAACAGTCTTTTGGGTAACAGTGTATAAATTACTTATACTCCAAATCACGGTTGCCACACACAACAATAACATTATTTAAAACAACTTTTTTGTAAATCATTTTGTAAAATGGAAAAAAAAGAACATGTTTGCATTAGGTGCTTCCTGCAGATAATAAAAACAAAATGGAATTTATTTTTCCCTCAGATGTGTTTGACATGTGATAAAGGTAATTCTCACATAAGAAATATTGTAGAGTGCTTACAAAGAATATATAAATCATAAGAATAAATCAAACACAAGTCACTAGAACTTGTATTGCCATATTAATATAATTATTCCAAAATAAAAGTTAATCTATAGTTTCCTAAAAAAGATGACCTTTGAAAAGGACAAAAGAGAAATATTACAGCTACGTGAACTGGCATTTTGAATGTTGATATGGTTTGGTTCTGTTTCCCCACCCACATCTTACAACTCGAATTGTAATCCCCAAGTGTCGAGGGACGGAGGTGATTGGATCATGGGGGTGGTTTCCCCCATGCTGTTCTCATGATAGTGAGTGAGTTCTCAAGAGCTCTGATGGCTTTATTAGTGTTTGGAAGTTCCTCCTTCACTCTTCTCTCTCCTGCCACCATGTGAAGAAGGTTCTTGTTTCCCCTTCACTTTCTGCTATAATTGTAAGTTTCCTGAGGCATCCCCAGCCATGCAGAACTGTGAGTCAATTAAGCCTCTTTCTTTTATAATTACCCACTCTCAGGTAGTATTCTTTATAGCAATGTGAAAACGGACTAATACAAATGTCTTACCCCAAATTAAGTTTGATTATTTTTTCTTTTTTTAAAAAAACAGCTTTATTGGGAGTATAATATACAAAGAATTGCACATACTTAATATGTACAAGTTGATGAGCTTTGACATATACAAATATCCATGATACCATTACCACAATCAAGGTAATAGACGTATCTATCACCTTCCAAAGTTCCGTTGCATCCCTTTGCTTTTTTTTTTTGTTTTTTTTTTATAAGAACACAACATGAGATTTACCCTCTTAGCAAATTTTGAAGTGCACAATACCTATAGCCACTATGTTGCACAGTAGAGCTCTTATTCATCTAGCATAACTGAAACTGTATACTCATTGGAAAACAATTTCCCTATCTCCATTTCCCCCATCCCCTACCCTTGGCAATAACTTTCATTCTCTACTTCTAGAGGCTAAATGTTACAGGTCCTCACATAAGTGGACTCATGGAGTATTAGTCTTTCTGAGAGGCTTATTTCACTGAGCATAGTGCTCTCCAGGTTCATCCATGTTGTTGCAAATGGAATAAACTTTTTATTTTTAAAGGATGATTTTGCATTTTCAAACTAAAAAATTGGAATACCTCTCACTCTATTTGTTTGAAAATAGGCAGGATACATAGGTCCACAATCATGCTCACTGTACTCATAACCCCACCTTTTTACCAGCTATCTATTGTCGTTTGATTTCAATTAACAGTTAGATTTGAGTGAGGCTTGAATAGGATGATCATGAGAATGGTTCTAGCATGTGAGTCTGAGTAGCTATCAAGGTTTCCAATTACCTTGAAGCAGGACTTAACTCTCGGTCATATCACTTTTGTGTACGTATATAAAAACACAAATACATAAATAAAAATCAATGAGACTTATTTCATGGAGTTGTTTTTTTTTTTTTTTTTTTTTTTTTTTTTGCTGTAGAATAGTAATATATTTGTTTATGTCATGAAGTACACACCAGGAGACTGGTAATGGAAAACAACTGGTAAATTAGATATTAAAATTTTGATATATCATTTCAAAACCAAACCAGATTAAAATTTAAAAAGCATATAATTTTCATTTGAATTAAATGACATTATCTGCAATTTTCAACAAGATAAAAGTATACATCCTCTGCCCAACTAGTAACATGAGAATATCCTTGCATAATGTACCTCTGCCCCATATAATATTTTACTTAGTTATGTATGCAGTCTAGTATCATTGAGCAGATGATACTTTCATGCATTTTAGAAAATAAAACATATGAAAGCTATACGATGGAATATTTTTCTCATATTGATGTGGCAAACATTTATTTACCACATCAATTCATTTCCTCCAAATAAAAACTGATACTAGTTTCTTGATACAGAAAAAGCAGAGGACTTGGATAGAGGGAATAACAGTCACTAATTTGACTGTACCTGTATTAGTCCATTCTCACACTGCTATGAAGAAAAATACCCCAGGCTGGATAATTTATAAAGAAAAGAGGTCTAATGAACGCATGGTTCTGCATTGCTGGAGAGGCCTCAGGAAACTTACAATCGTGGCAGAAGGTGAGGGAGAAGCAAAGACACGTCTTACAGGGTGGCAGGCAAGAGAGCTTGTGCAAGTGTAGAAAAAACTACCAGTCATAAAAACATCAGATCTTGTGAGAATCCACTCACTGTCATGAGAACAGAATGGGGAAACCACCCCCATAATCCAATCACTTCCCACCAGGTCTCTTCCACAACACCTGGGGATTACAATTCAATGTGGATTTGAGTGGGGACACAAAGCCTAACAATATTAGTACCAAATGCAATCCTAGATGAACTCCTAGAGCAGGAAATTTTAAATATAAGTTGTGAATGGAAAGACAGCTGTAGAGGAAGAATATGATTTCTCAAAGAACTATTATAAGTGTCCTGTTCTTGTCTAAAGTAATTCTTCCCTAACACAGAATCTCACTTCCTATAGGTTCTTAAGCATGATGATACATGTTTTATGGCTGAAATAACCTAATGAAATATTCCAATACACAATTTTATTACATATATATGTTACTAATTTGTACATAGCTTTATAAGTATATATACAAGTATACATAAGTTTATAATATGCATCTAGCTTTTCAAAACTACATGAAAAGAATCTATGAAAGATATAGTAACAAAAATCAAACATAAGGCTATGTATACAACAGTAAATTGAATTCATAGATGACAAATTTATACTATAATTCACAAATAGCAATAAATAGTAGAAAAGCATGATCTCATATTATAAAACTGAACAAAATTAATTTTAAATGCTACAACATAAATATCAAGTGGAAAAAAGCTTCCGTTTTACAAGATGAGGCACATTCTTTACAGTTGTATGTTACTTGGATTAGTATTTTAATTTGTAATTTAAATAGAACTTTCAATATGGTAGACTACTGTAATGATGATCCAGTATATCAGAATAGTGAATTAAATAAAACAAGAGAATAAGTGAATGGGTGGCTATGTGAATATATACTGTACATACATAGTCCCCAGGGTGAATGAGAACTGGAACTTTGCTAATACCAACTCTCTCCCTTGCCTCTCTCTCTGCCCTCTCTCTATGTATATACATTTGTATTAACAAGAACCCAGTTCTCATTCATTCTGGGGTAGGGGGCTTTCAGAGAAAAGGTAAACACCCTTGAGGCTTTCTGAAATGTCTTCTTTTTTTAATAGTAATGACCCTTTCTCCTTTACAGTTGAGTGTGGTGCTTTGCATGAAGTCACCCATCTCTTTCCCTAAGGAGGCCAACTTTGAAGGATAGACTTTGAAGAAAGTTTATCTCAGTGCTGTTTGTTAAGTGGCTTACCCCAAGAGGCCTCTTGCAGAAGTAATTGTTAAAACCATGAGGCACACCTGAGAGAAAGGCGCCAGGGACTACCTAACAAAGCTGGCACCTCTGGAGACACTTTGGAAGTATTTAATACATATGCCCTGATGGAGCATCTTACTCTTCAAAGAAAACAGTTTTGAGGCACCTAAGCAATTATGTACTTATTGACTTTGCGAAAACATTTATAACATCTTAACAATACAATTATCTGTAAGCTTTCTAATGAGCCCCCAAGTGACCTACTAGTGGAACAAAAACTTTCTTGATAAGAGCCAGTTTCCAAGAGACCATTTTTAATTGTATGAAAACTGAAAAATGATGGTGTTAAGAAGCTGCTGTTAGCTCTGTGTAAACTGTGTGGACTCTTTGCCAGTACAGCCCTCAGTGAACACACATCTTTAATAGAAATTAGCAATTGCTATAACCTGTAGTCTTAGAAGAAAATAAATACTGTAGAGGCCTCCAAAGTTATTCTAGTTACCTACTCTCTATATTGGGAGACAGAATTCAAACTCCAAAATTTCAAATTCTTCTTTGTTTTATGTCTAAGTGGGTTAGAATAATCTAATAAAATACTCCCAATAAACAAATCAATCCTGCATTCTTTTTAAATGTTCTGTGAAAGCAATAAACCTTGTAGCTAATTTTCAGTATGGCATATACACCAGTTAACAATACATCTTTTAGAATCAGATGGTGTGAGTTTGAACAATGAACCACCAATTGTTAGGTATGTGACTTAAAGAAAGCTAGTTAATTTGGTGGCTCAGTTGTAAAAAAGATGGTAATAGTATCTCTCACATGTGGCATGTTAAATGGGTTAATATATATTAACTACATTAAATAACATCACATATAAGCGTGGAAGAGATGTTAGTGCTCATCATTCAGCCACCCTAGTAACGATGTATTATTTTCTATAGTTATTTCAAAAAATACTTTTGTATTTTTGTTTTTAAAAATTATTTTTATTTTATAGAAGAGAAAATTCAGATTAAAGAAACCATAACTATCTTGACTAAGATTGCACTGGTATTTATCAGTAGTGTTCAACTTCAAATGCACATCTTCTGATTATGAGAATGGTGGTTCTTCCATCACCTTATAGCTATTTCCACATCCATTTACAATTCAAGCTCTTCCAATACTGGAAGTGTTAAAAATGGGATGGAAAACTGTAACTGGAAGAAATAAACACTGACTATTTTGTTTCACTTAAGGTTAATCAAATTTCAAAATGCACATTCTTTTTCCCATTACGGTGGTATAAGTACACTCATTCTGTCTCTTCCCCTGAGAAAGTTAAAATTGTCCCTGATTGCATGTGGTATATTATTGTACATAAAAGCTATAAAGAATTTATCAAAAAACTGTTAGAAATAATAAATGAATTCAATAAGGTTGCAGGATACAAATCAACATATAAAAATTATTTCCATACACTAACAACAATCTAAAAAAGAAATCAAGAAAACAACCCCACTTACAATAGCTACAAAAAAAAGAAAAATAACATACTTAAGAATTAACATAACCAAGGAGGTTAAAGATTTGTACACAAAAAAACTATAAAGCATTGATTAAAGTAATTGAAAAAGACACAAATAATTGGAAAAACATCCTATGGATATATCCTGCAAATTGGAAGAAATAATATTGTTAAAACGTTCATGCTATTCAAAGTAATCTACAGAGTCAGCATAATCTCATCAAAATATCGATGACATGTTTCACAGAAATGGGAAAAAATCCTATAATTCTATGGAACTAAAAAAATAACCCAAGTAGCCAAAGCAATCTTGCAAAAAATGAACAAAGCTGCAGGTATTATACTACCTGATTTGAAAATACACTCCAAAGCTAAAGCGATTAAGACAGCATGGTACTGGCATAAAAACAGACAGAAAGACCAATGGAAAAAAATAAAGAACTCAGAAATAAATGTATGCATTTACAGTCCATTGATTTTTGACAAAAGTGCCAATAGCACACAATGGAGAAAAGACAGTTCCTTCAACAACTAATGTTGGAACAATTGGATATTTGCATGCCAGTAGAATGAAATTGGACCCTAATCTCACACAATATTTTTTTAAAAAACTGAAAATGGATTAAAGACATTTGGATTAAATGTGTAATTTGAAATTGTAAAAATACTAGAAGAAAATATTGGGGAAAAAGTTCCATGACATTGATCTGGGAAAGACTTTTTGGATATGACCTGGAAAGTACTGGCAATAAAGCCAAAAAGAGACAATTTTGACTACATCAAACAAAAATGCTTCAGCACAGCCAAGCGAACAATCAACTGAGTGAAGAGACAACCTTTGTAATCGGCCAAGCACACATCTGTTAAGAGGTTACTATTCAAAATATATATTACAAATAACCCAATTAAAGAAAACAAATAACCTGGTTACGATCAAATGACCTGAAGAGACATTTCTCAGAAGAAGACATGCAAATGGCCAACAGGTATATGAAAAAATACTAAATTAATAGTCAGCAGAGAAAGGCAAATGAAAACCACAATGAGATATAACCTTATATCTGTTAGAATAATTAATATTAAAAAGACAAAAGGTAACACATGCTGATAAGGATGTCAAGAAAAAGGAACTCTTCCGCACTGTTGATGCGAATGTGAGTAAGTATAGCCATTATAGAAAATAATATGAAAGTTCTTTAAAAAATTAAAAATAAAACCACCATATGATCAAGGAATCCCATTACTTGGTATATATCCAAGGAAATGAAATCAGCATATCAAAGAAATATGTGCACTCCAATGTTTATTGCAGCACCATTCATAATAGCCAAGACATGGAATCAACCTAAGTGTTCATCAGCGGATGAATGGATAAATAAAATATGGCATATGTACACAATAGAATACTATTCAGTCTTAAAAAAGAAGCAAATTCTGTCATTTGTGACAACATGGATGAACCTGGAGAACGTTATTTTAAGTGAAGTAAGCTAGGAACAGAAAGACAAATGCTACATGATCTCACATTATGCAGAATTTTTAAAAGTTGAAATCATAGAAATAGAGAGTAGAATTGTGGTTACTAGGGGCTGGGAGGGGATGTGGTGGGGAGATGTTGGTAAATGGATACAATATTTCAGTTATATAGGAGAAATAAGTTCAAGAGATCTATTGTACAACATGGTGACTGTAGTTAATAACGTTTTGTATTCTTGAAAATTGCCAAAAGAATAGATGAGTTTTCTCACCACAAAAAAGTATGTGAGGTATTGCATACGTTGATTAGCCATTTCACAAGGTATACATATTTCAAGACATCATGTTGTACATGATAAATATAATTTTTATTTGCCAACTATAACAATAAACGAATAATAGTGTATGACAGGTAAAAAAAGATTGTAAGCAAATTATTTTCTTATATTACAAAGAAAAACAAACCTTTGATTCCTTTGATTTAAAACCTCATCAGTTTTTAACTTCCAAATCCACAGGTGTACCTACCATTTCTGCCTTCATTTCTCTAACTGTGGTGAACTCCTCCGGCTATGCTCAGTATGGTAACTGCTGCTGCTTTCTCAGGTGTATAATGCCAATGACTATTGGCTCCCTTTTCTGTTTCTTTATCCTCACTTCGCACAGTTCTGACTGTCCTTCCTTTTCTGTTTTGAGAAAACAGGGCTCAAATTGTCTGTGAACCTCTCTAGTGGTATTGAAATGGGAAAAGTTCCCTTGTCCCCCTCGCAGGGCATGCGATGGGGATGTGGCTCGCTTTTTCAGGGCCCCACTGCTCAAACAACTAGGGGAGCTTACAGACAGGCAGACTGTGGAGCTCCAACCCCATGGCAGTGTTTAGGGGTGAATGTTTGCAGCTTCTGAAGCCCCAGTGGGCGTGTGTTACAGGGTGCTCTTAATTTGCTGTCTACAGGTGGCTTGTGTTAGCCCAATTAGACCTTCTACCTTGTCCGAGGACAGAGG
Organism: Homo sapiens; assembly: GCF_000001405.40. Taxonomy (NCBI): domain Eukaryota; kingdom Metazoa; phylum Chordata; class Mammalia; order Primates; family Hominidae; genus Homo; species Homo sapiens. The sequence continues at coordinate 657,305 of NT_167249.2, forward strand.
GCTTTCTGTATCCCAGGGTTTCTTGCCTTGGTGTACCGGGAGAATTAGATCACACGTGGGCTTGGAGAATTAGTGTAAAGCTTTATTGAGTGGAAGTAGCTCTCAACTGATGGGGGAGCCAGAAGGGAAATGGTCTTCCCCTGGAGTTGGGCCACTCGGCCTTGCTCTCCTCTGCCGCGGCCAAACTCCACCTCCTCCCACCAGCTGATGGCCTGCTGGTATGCTGGTGCCTGTCTGTGTGCTCTTCTGCCTGCGTGCTCCTCTTGACATTCTCTCGAGGACCAGCCGCTTGCATCTTCTTTCGCCAATGTACTCCTCTGGACATCTGGCCACCTGTGTGTCTGCCTGCTGGGGCCTCGGGTTTTTATAGGCCAAGGATGGGGGCATGGTGGGTCAGGGTGGACTTTTGAAATGCAACATTTGGGCGAAAAAGCAGGAGTGCCTGTCCTCACCTAGGTCCGTGGGATGGAGCCCTAGTCAGGGAACACACCTTCCTCTACCCAGCACTTCTCTTCTCCCCTTTTGTATCATTTAAAGGGACCACGTTCTTCCCTTCCCAGCACTCCCTTATCACTATGCTAGCATATTGCTTTTGGGATTCACTTCTCTAGGTTTTATTGTGTGTATTTTACTTTTTTTGTTTTTAATGTTTCTTTACTTATTTTCTTTAGTATACTGAAACTGAACAGCCTTAGATTTAACAAAATGCTATATTTGTTCAGAGCTGTGAGTTAATCATTGGAAGAGCATCAGAAAGTAAAGAAAACGAATGGGATATAAACAGAATGTGAGAATTGCAGTGGCATTGATAAAACAGATGGCAACTGATTTTGATTAAAGGGTTATGAGTTTGAATTAAAACAAAATATGGCGTGAGATTTGGTTGAATTTAGAATAGAAGTAAAAGCTGCAGATAAATAAAGTGAAAGTCAGTGGTACATGGTTAATATTTAAAGCAAAAAAAAAGTAAAAGAGGTAGACTACATTGAGACAGAAGAGCATGTTGTCAAAGTATGAGGCTTGGATGTTTCCCACTTTGGAAATATTTGATGAGAAATACGTGTTTACCAAAAAAAATTTTTTATCATCTAATAAGCAAATGTGTCAGAAAATTTTGACTTAAAATAATATTTGCAACCAACTAAATTATATCATTCATTATCTCTACTTATTCATCTATTCTGTGAACATAATATTCTGGAATAATATTCTATGGTGAATGAAATAAACTATGGGATGTGAGAAATACTAAAACGTATACTTCCTGTAAGATGTGTGTTAACTGGGAGCATAAAAAGTAGTAAGAAAGCAAAAACTTTCATGCACAAACCCTCTAGGATGTTCAATGTCATGGTAGTTTTATGGTATGTTTATATATATTTTAAATTTTATTTTATTTTAGGTTCCAGGATACATGTGCAGACGTGCAGGTTTGTTACATAGGTAAACGTGTGCCATGGTGATTTGCTGCACCTAACCACCCATCACCTAGGTATTAAGCCCTGCATGCATTAGCCATTTGTCCTGATGCTCTCCCACCCTCCACCCGCCGACAGGCCCTGGTGTGTGTTGTTCCCTCCCTGTGTCCATGTGTTCTCTTTATTCTACTCCCACTTATTAGTGAGAACATGCGGTGTTTGGTTTTCTGTTTCAGTTACTTTGTTGAGGATGATGGCTTCCAGCTTCATCTATGTCCCTGCAAAGGACATGATCCCATTCCTTTTTATGGCTGCATAGTATTCCATGATATATATGTACTACATTTTATGTATTCTATCATTGATGGGCATTTGGATTGATTCCAAGTCTTTGCTATTGTGAATAGTGCTGCAATAAACATATGTGTGTGTATCTTTATAATAGAATGATTTATATTCCTTTGGTTATATACCCAGTAATGGGATTGCTGGGCTAAATGGTATTTCTGGTTCTAGATCCTTGAGGAATTGCCACACTGTCTTCCACAATGGTTGAACTAATTTACATTCCCTCCAACAGTGTAAAAGTGTTCCTATTTCTCCACAGCCTTGCCAGCATCTATTGTTTCTTGACTTTTTGATAATTGCTCTTCTGACTGGCATAAGATGGTAGCTCATTGTGGTTTTAATTTGTATTTCTCTAACAATCAGTGATGTTGAGCTTTTCTTCATAATTTGTTGGCTGTGTAAGTATCTTCTGAGAAGTGTCTGTTCATATCCTTTGCCCACTTTTTGATGGGGTTATTTGTTTTATTATTGTAAATTTGTTTAAGTGCCTTGTAAATTCTGGATATTAGACCTTTATCAGATGGGTAGATTGCAAAATTTTTTTCCCATTCTTCAGGTTGCCTGTTCACTCTGATGGTAGTTTCTTTTGGTGTGCAGAAGCTCTTTAGTTAATTAGATCCTGCTTGTCAATTTTTGCTTTTGTTGCAATTGCTTTTGACAATTTCATCATAAAATTTTTGCCCATGCCTATTCTCTGAATGGTATTACCTACATTTTCTTCTAGGATTTTTATCGTTTTAGGTTTTACATTTAAGTCTTTAATACATCTTGAGTTAATTTTTGTATAAGGTGTAAGGAAGGGGTCTAGTTTCAGTTTGCTGCATATGGCTAGCCCATTTTCCCAGCACCATTTATTAAATAGGGAATCATTTCCCCATTGCTTGTTTTTGTCAGGTTTGTTGCAATTCAGATGGTTGTAGATGTGCCGTCTTATTTCTGATCTGTTGGTCTATGTGTCTGCTTTGGTACCAGTACCATGCTGTTTTGGTTACTGTAGCCTTGTATTATAGTTTGAAGTCAGGTGGCATTATGCCTCCAGCTGTGTTCTTTTTGCTTAGGATTGTCTTGGCTATACAGGCTCCTTCTTGGTTCCATATGAGTTTTAAAGTAGCCTTTTTTTTTTAATTCTCTGAAGAATGTCAATGGTAGTTTGATGGGAATAGCACTGAATCTATAAATTACTTTGGACAGTATGGCTATTTTCACAATATTGGTTCCTCGTATCCACAAGGATGAAATGTTTTTCCATTTGTTTGTGTCCTCTCCTAATTCCTTGAGAAGTGGTTTGTAGTTCTCCTTGAAGTCTTTCACATCCCTTGTTAGCTGTATTCCTAGGTATTTTATTCTCTTTGTAGCAATTATGAATGAAGGTTCATTCATGATTTGGTTCTCTGTTTGTCTATTGTTGGTGTATAGAAATGCTTGTGATTTTTGCACATTGATTTTGTATCCTGAGACTTTGCTGAAGTTGTTTATCAGCTTAAGGAGATTTTGGGCTGAGACGATGGGGTTTTCTAAATATACAATGTCATCTGCAAACAGAGACAATTTGATTTCCAGTCTTTTTATTCAAATACGCTTTATTTCTTTCTCTTGCCTGATTGCCCTGGCCAGAACATCCAATACTATGTTGAATAGGAATGGTGAAAGAGGATTTCCCTGTCTTGTGATAGTTTTCAAAGGGAATGCTTCCAGCTTTTGCCTATTCAGTATGATATTGGCTGTGGGTTTGTCATAAATAGCTCTTATTATTTTGAGATATGTTCCATCAATACCTAGTTTATTGAAAGTTTTTAGTATGAAGGGATGTTGAAATTTATCGGAGGCCTTTTCTGCATCTATTTAGATAATCATGTGGTTTTTGTCATTGGTTCTGTTTATGTGATGAATTGCATTTATTGATTTGTGTCTGTTGAACCAGCCTTCATCCCAGGGATGAAGCCGACTTGATTGTGGCAGATAAGCTTTTTGATGTGCTGCTGGATTTGATTTGCCAGTATTTTATTGAGGATTTTCACATTGATGTTCATCAGAGATATTGGCCAGAAGTTTTCTTATTTTGTTCCGTCTCTGCCAGGTTTTAGTATCAGGATGATGCTGGGCTTATAAAATTAGTTAGGGAGAAGTCCCTCCTTTTGAATTGTTTGAAATAGTTCCAGAAGGAGTGGTACCAACTCCTTTTTGTACCTCTGGTGGAATTCGACTGTGAGTCCATCTGGTGCTGGGCTTTTTTTGGTTGTTAGGCTATTTATTACTGCTTCAATTTCAGAATTTGTTATTGGTCTATTCAAGGATTTGAATTCTTCCTGTTGTAGTCTTGGGAGGGTGTATGCATCCAGGAATTTATTCATTTCTTCTAGATTTTCTAGTTTGTTTGCATGAGATATTTATAGTATTCTCTGATGGTAGTTTGTATTTTTATGGGGTCAGTGGTGATATGCCCTTTATCATTTATATTGTGTCTATTTGATTCTTCTCTTTTTTCTTATTAGTCTAGCTAGCAGTCTATTTTATTAATGTCTTCAAAAAAGAAACAACTTCTGGATTTATTGATTTGCTGAAGCATTTTCTTGTGTCTGTCTCTTCTTCAGTTCTTCTCCGATCTTAGTTATTTCTTGTTTTCTGCTAAATTTTGGATTTATTTGCCCTTGCTCCTCTAGTTCTTTTGTTGTGATGTTAGGGTGTCAGTTTGAGTTCTTTCTAGTGCTACAAATTTCCCTCTACACATTGCTTTAGCTGCATCCCAGAGATTCTGGTATGTTGTCTCTTTGTTCTTATTGGTTTCAAGAATGGTTTAGTTTCTGCCTTAATTTCATTATTTACCTAGGAGTCAGTCAGGAGCAGATTGTTCAATTTCCATGTCATTGTTGGTTTTGAGTGAGGTTCTTAATCCTGAGTTCTAATTTGATTGAACTGTGGTCTGAGAGACTGTTTGTTATGATTTCAGTTCTTTTGCATTTGTTGAGGAGTGCTTCACTTCCCATTATGTGATCGATTTTAGAGTAAATGCCACGTGGCACTGAGAAGAATGTATATTCTGTTGTTTCAGGCTGGAAGGGCTTGCAGATATCTATCAGGTTCACTTGATCCAGAGCCAAGTTCAAGTCCTGAATATCCTTGTTAGTTTTCTGTCTTGATGATCTGTCTAATGTTGAGAATGGGGTGTTAAAGTCTCTTAGTATTATTGTGTGGAAGTCTACGTCTCTTTGTAGCTCTCTAAGAGCTTGCTTCATGAATCTGGGTGCTCCTGTATTGGGTGCATATACATTTAGGATAGTTAGCTCTCCTTGTTGAAGTGACCCCTTTACCATTATGTTATCCCCTCCTTTGTGTTTTTTATCTTTTTTGGTTTAAAGTCTGTTTTATCAGAAACTAGGATTACAATCCTTGCTTTTCTCTACTTTCCATTTGCTTGGTAAATTTTTTCCATCCCTTTATTTTGAGCCTATGTGTGTCCTGGCACATGTCAAGGATCTCCTGAATACAGCACACTGAGGGGTCTTGACTCTTTATCCAATTTGCCAGTCTGTGTCTTTTAATTGGGTCATTTAGCCCATTTACATTTAAGGTTAATATTGTTATATGTGAATTTGATCCTGTCATCATGATGCTAGCTGGTTATTTTGCACACGAGTTGATGCAGTTTCTTTATAGTGTCATTGATCCTTGTATTTCAGTGTGTTTTTGCAGTGGCTGGTACTGGTTTTTCCTTTCTGCCCCCCATGTTCATATATTTATTCAGGAGTATTTACCACCTATGATAGACCAGGAATTATTCTCTTCTTGGCCCTAAAGATAAAGAGGTGAACAGGATACATAATTCTGATAATAATAACTTTAGATAACTGCTATGAAATGAAAGACAGAGTGGAGTTATCAAGAGTTATTGAGTGGGGGAGTGGTGAGAAGTTGTAATTTTAAATAGATTAGTCAAGTAACTCTCACTACCACCACCACCACCATTTCAGGCAGTACCATGTGATTTAAGGAGGAATAGAAAACATTAGGTGGAATGATGGAGGAGAAAGTAGATTTTGAATTGAACTATAAAGAATGAAGAGAATTTTGAACAAATAAGGGAGGAGATGTGAATTCCAAATTAAGGGAATCGTCATAATAGTGGTATGTAGTCAGGAAAGATCAAGCCATACCTGGAGAAGAATTATTTAGGGTTCCTGCAGGAGATGAGTTACAAAGTAGGTAGTACTTAGATTTTATAGACAGTGGTTACAAATATATTTAGTTAAATGAAGAGTGTGCCAGTAAGCCAGTAGAGTTTATTAAAACAAAAACAGTATAGGAGACTGTACATAACACCATGTTAAGAAAGTTAACTCAGAAATGATGTGCAGGGTACATTAAACAGAATAGGAATGGAGACAAGGCACTCCACTAGAACACTATGACAACATTACACAAAAGAGGGGCTGGGAAGTCAAGACTTAATCAAGGGAGGCATCAGTAGGTATGGGAAGAAAAAGAAGACGGTCCTGAGAGAATAGTGAAGAAAGACACTAGACAACTTGTATCTACCTGATCTATAAGCCTTTTTCTATCTCTCTTTCAATCTCTTAGGCTCTTACATTGTATGTTATTTATTTTCCCTTCTTGGTATCTCTAAGTCTCTTTATCTTTTAAATTTTCTCTCCAGTGTCTGTATTTATTTCTCTCTTCCACCACTTAGTCTTCTTTCCCATTTGTCTTGACTTCATAACTGTACTTTACATGGTAATAACACATAGAAAATAGTAATTAAGTACTTTTACTTTTAACATTAGTAATTTCTACTTTTTTTTCTAAATTTAGTCATTATATAACTAAGACTTTTTATTCCCCATCAAAAAACCCTTGTTTTTTCTGTATGTTTTATCTGATTCTGTTTTCTAAATTTTTAGCGAAAAAAGTTTCCCAAATTTAAGATACTCTATAAAATAGTAATATGTTTTGGGGACTTAGTTTTAGAAAAATCCCTCAGGAAATTCTGCCTTTTGAATAGAATAAAGAATGCATGTCAAATGGGATTGAAAATTATGACTGTCTTCATTCCAATGTGAAGATAAATTGGCCTTGGCCCATGCAGCAGGTGATAAAATTAAAATTAGCTACCAACAGATCTGGAGGTAAAACATCACTTTACTGTGTTTACATTTCTTAATCTATTGGTGATGATGTTTTATTAAGAAGGGCCTACTAAAGAAAGAAAGGTCAAAAGCATGGCTTAAGTAGTAAGAACAGAAAAATATGACACACATATGAGGAATGTGAAGAAAAATATTTCACATTATTTAATATACAGAAAGCAATATGAAAAAGCAGGGAAATTTTCAAGTGATGAAGTCCATTAAACAAATATCTCATGAAAGAGGGAAACAGTCTTTGAATGCAAAATTCAGGAATGGAAAAATAAATAAGAAGATAATATCTAAAGAGAGCAACATTGATATCTCTCATAGAACTAACTAAAGCTCAAGAATAAGTACACTTAGACTGGAGTGTATCAACTCTTCAATATCTGTCCCAACATTGCAATTATCTTTTAAACTTTCAATAAAAACAGCTGACTGGTGAAAAAGTTAATTTTGTAGTATAAGATTATTGAACCTGTGAGGTTCAATAAGTGAGTTTACTATCCAAAGAGGAAATTGGTGGCTGCCACTTGCTCCCTATAGTTTTGACAGCCTCTTTGATGTCCTTATTCCTCAATGTGTAAATTATAGGGTTTAGCATGGGGGTAACAACACTGTACAACACTGAAACCAACCTATCTTTCTTTAATGAGTAAGTTGAGATGGGCCGTACATATGTAAAGATGGCGCTGCCATAAAAGAGAAAGACAATGGCCAGGTGGGAGGCACATGTAGAAAAGGCTTTTCGTCTTCCCTCTGAGGACTGGATCCTCAAGATGGTGGAGATTATGCAAATGTAGGAAAGTACGATACAAAGGAAAGGAGTCCAACCAATGAAGACCCCAGTGGATAGCAGTGCCAACTCATTGACAGAAGTGTTTCCACAAGACAAGATCAGCAAAGGGGGGATGTCACAGAAGAAGTAATTAATCTGATTGTTGCCACAGAAGGGCAGGCAGAATGTCAACACTGTATGCACCACTGAGTTAAGGAAACCAGCAGCCCAGCATGAGGCTGCTAATTGATTGCATAGAACCTTGCTCAGAATAACTGAATACCTTAAAGGATTGCAGATTGCAATGTAACGATCATATGCCATTGCTGCCAGTAGGAGACACTCTGATCCTACAAAGAAAACAAATGCAAAAAGTTGAACCACACACCCCACATAAGAAATGCTTTTTTTCTTTGAGAGGAGGTGCACCATCATCTGGGGGACATTGCTGGTGGTGTAGCAGATGTCAATAAAGGCCAAGTTCCCTAGAAAATAATACATAGGTGTATGCAGGTGTGGATCAGTCACAGTCGTCAAGATCATTAATATATTTCCTCCCAAAGTACAGAAATAAGTCAGAAAGAAGATGGTGAATAGTAAAAACTGCAATTCATTTAGGTTGGAGAATCCCAAGATGATGAATTCAGTTATAGCTGTTTGATTCTTTCTTTCCATGATGTCGCCTGGTTTCCTTTCAGGAATTGGGCAAAGAGAAGACCAGATTATAAAAATGAATCATATGCTGCAATAGCATGACCTGAAAAATAAGGGAAAAAACGGTTACAAATAAAAGTAATCACCATTTATGTCAAACCAGAGAAGCAGCATTCTTTTGCAAACCATAGCTCCTACCTACCATGCAACACAGATATAAATACATCCAATGTTTCACCTGCAGATCAAATCTTTTTAAATATACAACACTGGAAGTTTTAAATTAGAATACAAATGGACACCATATGTCCTAGAGTTCTCTGTTAATAATGGCTGGGTCATGCTCACCGGCATTTTCTTGGGGATGTGTGAACTTGTGCTGTAGAATGCGATTTCTAGAAGAATCTCTGGTATTCATTTGCTTCTTTGAAGCCATCCCTGCTCTCCTTTTTCATACTTCAACGTTAATATAAATTTTGTTTTATATTCTTTTCCGATTAAAATTAATGTATTTGTTTTAGAATATTTGGGAAAAATATAGAAAAGAAAATTTAAAACATTAAAAATCTTTAGTAGTCACCAGAGAAAATCTCTATTAATGATTTGGTATATGTTCTTCTGATCCATTTTCCATATAGAAATGTTGAATAGAGGATCAAAAGTACCTATTTTAATCTGATTTTTCCTTAATTTTCCGTGGCAATACATTTTATGCTAAAACATGATCTTTGAGTTGTATTCAAGTATTTGTATGAATATAGCAAAGTTTTTATATATCCCACCCTTATTAATGAATATTTATATTGTTTTATTTGTTCATTTTTGATATGATAAATTTCAACAAGAAGCATATTGAATTAGATTCCCTGAATTTGGGGTTAGGTTATCTGAATTTTTATAAACTTTCCAAGAGACTTATCCTAATGAATTAGAAACCTATTGCTATAGATCATCAATCTGGAAAATTCAAGAGCTATTTGGCTGGTGCAGGAATTAGTGTCTGTTTCAACAAATTATTGTTAAGTGCTTCATATAGAAGGATGCTGATAATCTCTGAGCACTTCCTACACAGCATCTCATTTAGTCTTTACATAAATCCTTTAAGATAAGTAATATTTATCATTCCCATTCTCTGGATGAGAGCACCGAGCCTCAGCAAGATAAACGTCTGGAAGATGTCACGCAGCTAGCAGGTAAAAAAAAGGTAGCTTTATCACTCCCAAAGCTAATATACTTTCAATTGAGTGGCTAAAAATTTAATTTCCATTAACTTATGACAACAGAATGCCCTTAAAAAACACTTCTCTTGTTTTGAATATAACCTACGTTCATACAACTGAATTATTTTAACTGGTTACAAATTGTTATGACTTCTATTTCTGACTGTTAATGGCAATGTGCTATGCCTGCAGTGTTTTGATGGTTAAATCCAATTGTTTCTAAATACCTGGTTTTTATTTGAATATGTTTATTTGAACAATCAATTTCTAGTGTAGTTGTTTATTTCCTGGACCAGCTATAGATTAATTTAAATGTTCATGTTTGTGTTATTAAAAGATACTCTTCTAGAGCTTAGTTTAAGTTGGTTAATAAAAATGTTTAATAAAATTAAAACAGTTGTAGGGAGAATCCCCTAATTTAAAATGCTCAAGGCCTAATTCAAGTGAGAAAAATTAATCTGCAGTTTGATGTTTGAAGCAAATTATAAAAACTTAGATAAATAAAACAAAATAAAAACTTAAAAATGAAGATAATTGTTGTATATTCATTCAAACTATATACTTTATCGATTGCCCTCACCTATAGACAAATATGCATTTCAATGTCAAGTTTGAGAGGTGGCTTAATTGTGCTTTTGTTGTAATTGCTGTCTTCTTTCCTCGTGAACTACTGTGGATATTTTTAATGAAGGGAGAGGATAAGTTGAAAAAATTCACATAATATAGTATTTCACATTACCACAACTGAATAAATTCACTGGGACAATTTTCATTCCATCTACAGAAGAACTCCAAAATTGTATTCTCAAATCAATCTTTTTCCCTATTCCAAATCTCTATCTCCCCTTTCATCTTTTTTAACATTTCCTTCCACTTCTGAGGAGGAATTAACCCTTCTACTCATTTTATTCAACAAATGTATTTTAAGGCAAAAATGTGGAAAAAAGGGAACTGGCACAGTGTTAATGGAAATGTAAATTAATAGAGCCATTTTGGAAAACAGTGCAGTTTCTTCAAAAAACTAAAAATGCAACTACTATGTGATCCAGCAATTCCACTTCTGGATATATATTCAAAGGAATTGAAATCAGTATCTCAAAGAGATATCTGCACTCCCATGGTCTTTGCAGCATTATTCACAGTAGCCATGGAAACAACCTAAATCTTCACCAATAGATGAATGACTAAAGAAATGTTATATATACCTGGTGGAATACTATGCAGCCTTTAAAAAAAGAAAATCCTGTCATTTCTGACATGGGTTAAGCTAGAGGACATTATGCTGAGTGAAATGAGCCAGGCACAGAAAGACAAGTATTGCATGATCTCCCTTATATGTGGAATCTAAAAAGGTCAAATCTATTGAGGTAGAGAATAGAATGGTGGTTACCAGAGTTTGAGGTAGGAGTGGACAGGGGTGGACTGGTCAAAGGGTACAAAGTTTCAGTTACACAGGAGAAGTAACTTCTAATGATTTATTGTATAGCATGGTGACTATAGTTAAAATGTATTGTATATTCCAAAATTGCTAATGGAGTGGATTTTAAATATTTCCCCACAAAGTAATGATAAGTATGTGAGGTGGCAGATATGTTATTTAGCCTGCTGTACTCATTCCAAAATATATACATGCATTATAACATCACGTTATATATATACTGCAGACTAGAGTGGTGACAATTTGGTTGGATAGAAATAGAGGCATTTGAGAGATATTAGAATATACAGTGTTACAATTTTGGTATAAAATGACGAAGAAGGATAAATTAAGGATAGTAGTTATAACCAACATATATTAAATGCTTATTATAACATAACCATTCAACAATCATTGTATTACCCAGTTCACATGCCCACACACACCAAAAACACACACGCACACAATGAAAGAGACATATTATGTCCATATTACAAGTAAAAAATGTTAAAATAAGTTTCAGAGAAATTAAATAATTTGCCTAAAGTTACTCAGACTTGCAGTGGTGATATTGGGTTTTACATTTCACTTTGTGGCCTAAACGAGTGCACTGTGCTGATCTAGATTCCTGGATTGAACAAGCAGATGGCTGGGGGTGTCATTCTCTGAAATGAAAGCAGGAAATTGGCACTTGTTGGCAAATCTGGCAAGATGGCTGAATAGGAACAGCTCTGCTCTGCAGCTCCCAGTGAGACCAATGCAGAAGGCAGGTGATTTCTGCATTTCCAACTGAGGTACCAGTTAGGTAACTGGTTAGGAAGCAGGTGCAGCACCTGGAGGGCAGGCAGAAGCATGGTGTGGCATCGCCTCACTCGGGAAGTGCAAGGAGCTTCCCCAGCCAAGGGAAGCTGTGAGGGACTGTGCTATTCACCCACATACTACACCTTTCCCACGGTTTTTGCAATCCGCAGACCAGGAGATTCTCTCATGTGCCTACACCACCAGGGGCCTGGGTTTCAAGCACAAAACTGGGTGGCTGTTTGGGCAGACACTGAGCCAGCTGCAGGAGTTTTTTTCATACCCCAGTGGCACCTGGAACATCAACAGACAGAACTGTTCACTCCCCTGGAAAGGGGGCTGAAGCCAAGTGCTCTCACTCAGCGGGTCCCACTCCTATGGAGCCCAGCAAGCTAAGGACCACTGGCTTAAAATTCTCACTGCCAGCACAGCAGTCTGAAGTCGACCCTGGATGATCGAGCTTGTTGTGGGGAGGGGCATCCACCATTAGTGAGGCTTGAGTAGGCAGTTTTCCCCTGACAGTGCTAAGGAGGCCTGGAAGTTTGGACTGGGTGGAACTCAACACAGCGTGGCAAAGTGGCTGTGGCCAGACTGCTTCTCTAGATTCCTCCTCACTGGGGAGGGCATCTCTGAAAGAAAGGCAGCAGTCCCAGTCAGGGGCTTAGAGATAAAACTCCCATCTTCCTGGGACAGAGCACCTGGGGGAAGGGGCAGCTGTGGGCGCAGCTTCATCAGACTTAAGCATTCCTGCCTGCCAGCTCTGAAGAGAACAGTGGATTCTGACAAGGAGGGTTCTCCCAGCACAGCGCTCAAGCTCTGCTAAGGGACAGACTGCCTCTGCCAGTGAATCCCTGACCCCAGTGCCTACTGACTGAGAGAGACTCCCCAACAGGGGTTGACAGACACCTCATAGAGGAGAGTCCAGCTGGCACTGGGCTTCCCTTTGGGATGAAGCTTCCAGAGGAAGAAGCAGGCAGTAATAGTTGCCGTTCTGCAGCCTCCACCGGTGATACTCAGGCAAATAGGGTCTGGAGTGAACCTTGAGCAAACTGCAGCAGACCTGCAGAAGAGGGGCCTGACTGGTAGAAGAAAAACTAACAAACAGAAAGCAATAACATCAACATCAACAAAAAGGACCCCCACACAAAATCCCATCCAAAGGTCATCAACCTCAAAGATCAAAGGTAGATAAATCCACGAAGATGAGGAAAAACCAGCACAAAAATGCTGAAAATTCCAAAAACATTCTTCTAGAGAAAAATGTCTTTTCTCCAAATGATTGCAACTCCTCTCCAGCAAGTGCACAAAACTGGGCAGAGAATGAGTTTGATGAATTCACAGAAGTAGGCTTCAGAAGGTGGGAAATAACAAACTCCATTGAGCTAAAGGAGCATGTTCTAACCCAATGCAATGAAGCTAAGAAATTTGACAAAAGATTACAGGAACTGCTAACTAGAAGTTTAGAGAAAAACATAAGTGACCTGATGGAGCTGAAAAACACATCATGAGAACTTCATGAAGCATACACAAGTATCAATAGCTGAATTGATCAACCAGAAGAAAGGATATCAGAGATTGAAGATCAACTTACTAAAATAAGGTGTGAAGACAATATTAGAGAAAAAAGAGGGAAAAGGAAGGAAAAAAGTCTCCAAGAAATATGGGACTATGTGAAAAGACCAAACATGTGATTGGGTGGTATACTTGAAAGTAACATGGAGAATGAGACCAAGTTGGAAAACACACTTCAAAATATTATCCAGGAGACCTTCCCCAACCTAGCAAGACAGGTCAACATCCAAATTCAGGAAATACAGAGAACACCACTAAGATACTCCTCGAGAAGGGCAACCCCAAGACACATAATCATCAGATTATCCAAGGTCGAAATGAAAGAAAAAATGTTAAGGACAGTCAGAGAGAAAGGTCAGGTTACCTACAAAGGGAAGCCCATCAGACTAACAGTGGATCTCTCCGCAGAAAACCCACAAGCCAGAAGAGAGTGGGGACCAATATTCAACATTCTTAAAAAAAAAGAATTTTCAACTCAGAATTTTGCATACAGCCAAACTAAGCTTCATAAGTGCAGGAGAAATAAAATCATTTACAGACAAGCAAATGCTGAGGGATTATGTCACCACCAGGCCTGCTTTACAAGAGCTCCTAAAGGAAGCACTAAACAGGGAAAGGAAAAAGTAGTACCAGCCACTGGAAAAACACACCGTAATATAAAAACCAAAGACACTATGAAGAAACTGCATCAACTAATGTTCAAAGTAACCAACTAGCATCATGATGAATGGATCAAATTCACACTAACAATATTAATCTTAAGTGTAAATGGGCTGAATGTCCCAATTAAAAGACACAGACTGGCAAATTGAATAAAGTGTCAAGACCCATCAGTGTGCAGTATTCAGGAGACCCATCTCATGTGCAAAGACACACATAGGCTCAAAACAAAGGGACAGAGAAATATTTACCAAGCAAATGGAAAGAGAAAAAAAAAGCAGGGGTTGCAATCCTAGTCTCTGATAAAACAGAATTTAAACCGACAGAGATCAAAAAAGACAAAGAAAGGCATTACACAATGGTAAAGGGATCAATGCAACAAGAAGAGCTAACTATCCTAAATACATATGCACCCAATAAAGGAGCACCCAGATTCATAAAACAAGTTCTTACAGACCTACAAAAGACTTAGACTCCCATACAATAATAATGGAAGACTTTAACACTCCACTGTCAATATTAGACAGATCAATGAGACAGAAAATTATCAAGAATATTCAGGACTTGAATTCAGCTCTGGACCAAGCAGACCTAATAGACATCTACTGAACTCTCCACCCCAAATCAACAGAATATACATTCTTCTCAGCACCACATAGCAATTATTCTAAAATCGACCACATAATTGGAAGTAAAACACTCCTCAGCAAATGCAAAAGAATGGAAATCAAAACAAACAGTCTCTCAGACCACAGTGCAATCAAATTAGAACTCAGCATTAAGAAACTCACTCAAAACCTCACAACTACATGAAACCTCACAATTACATTAACAACCTGCTCCTGAATGACTACTGGGTAAATAATGAAATTAAGGGAGGAATAATGAAGTTATTTGAAACTAGTGAGAACAAAGAGACAATAAACTATAATCTCAGGGACACAGCTAGAGCAGTGTTAAGAGAAAAATTTAGAGCACTAAATGCCCACGTCAGAAAGCAGGAAAGATTTAAAATCGACCCCCTAACATCACAATTAAAAGAGCTAAAGAAGCAAGAGCAAACACATTCAAAAGCTAGCAGAAGACAAGAAATAACTAAGATCAGAGCAGAACTGAAGGAGATAGAGACACGAAAAACCCTTCAAAACATCAGTGAATGCAGGAGCTGGTTATTTGAGAAGATTAACAAAAGAGATAGACTGCTAGCCAGACTAGTAAAGAAGAAAAGAGAGAAGAATCAAATAGACACAATAAAAAATGGTAAAGGAGTTATCACCACTGATCCCACAGTAATAGAAACTACCATGAGAGAATACTATAAATATCTCTATGCAAATAAACTAGAAAATCTAGAAGAAATGGATAAATTCCTGGACACATACACCCTTCCAAGCCTAAACCAGGAAGAAGTCGAATCCCTGAATAGACCAATAACAAGTACTGAAATTGAGGCAGTAATTAGTAGCCTAAATAAACAAAAAATCTCCAGGATCTGATGGATTCATGGCTGAATTCTACCAGAGGTACAAAGAGGAGCTGGTACCATTCGTTTTGAAACTATTCCAAACAATAAAAAAGAGGGACTCCTCTCTAGCTCATTTTATGAGGCCAGCATCATCCTGATACCAAAACCTGGCAAAGACACAACAAAAAAAGAAAATTTCAGTCCAATATCCCTAATGAACCTCGATGCAAAAATGCTCAATAAACTACTGGCAAACCAAATCCAGCAGCACATCAAAAATCTTATCCACTACAATCAAGTCGGCTTCATACCTGGGATAAAAGGCTGGTTCAACATACACAAATCAATAAACATAATCTATCACATAAACAACCAATGACAAAAACCACATGATTATCTCAATAGATGCAGAAAAGGCCTTTGATAAAATTCCATACCCCTTCATGCTAAAAACTCTCAATAAATATTGATGGAACATATATATAAAAAAAGACCTATTCACAACAAACCCATAGCCAATATCATAATGAATGGGCAAAAGCTGGAAGCGTACTCTTTGAAAACCTGCACAAGTCAAGGATGCCCTCTCTCACCACTCCTATTCCACATAGTATTGGAAGTTCTGCCCAGGGCAATCAGGCAAGAGAAAGAAATAAATGGTATTCAAATAGGAAGAGAGGAAGTCTAATTGCCTCTGTTTGCAGATGACATAATTGTATATTTAGAAAACCCCATCATCTCAGCCCAAAACTCCTTAGGCTGATGAGCCACTTCAGCAAAGTCTCAGGATACAAAATCAATGTGCAAAAATTACAAGCATTCCTATACACCAATAATAGACAAGCAGAAAGCTGAATCATGAGTGAACTCCCATTCACAATTACCATAAAAAAATAAGATACCTAGGAATACAACTTACAAGGGATGTGATGGACCTCTTTAAGGAGAATTACAAACTGCTTCTCAAGGAAATAAGAGAGGACACAAATGAAGAGAAAAAAATTCCATGGTCATGGATACGAAGAATCAATACTGTGTAAATGGCCATACTGCCCAAAGTAATTTATAGATTCAATGCTATTCCCATCAAGCTACCATTGATTTTCTTCTCAGAACTAGAAAAAACGACTTTAAATTTCATATGGAACCAAAAAAAGAGCCCGTATAGCCAAGACAATCCTAAGCAAAAAGAACAAAGCTGGAGGCATCATGCTACCTGACTTCAAACTAGACTACAAGGCTACAGTAACCAAAACAGCATGATACTGGTACCAAAACTGATATA
The DNA here is from genome assembly GCF_000001405.40 of Homo sapiens. Classification (NCBI taxonomy): domain Eukaryota; kingdom Metazoa; phylum Chordata; class Mammalia; order Primates; family Hominidae; genus Homo; species Homo sapiens. Next base: position 674,043 of record NT_167249.2, read on the forward strand.
TAGACCAATGGAACAGAACAGAGGCCTCAGAAATAACACCACACATCTACAACATGACAAACCTGACAAAACCTTTGTTTTGACAAACCTGAAAAAACCTGACAAACCTGACAAAAACAAGCAATGGGGAAAGGATTCTTTGTTGAATAATTGGTGCTGGGAAAACTGGCTAGCCACATGCAGAAAACAGAAACTGGACCCCTCCCTTACACCTTATACAAAAATTAACTCAAGATGGATTAAAGACTTAAACATAAAGCCTAAACCCATACAAACCCTAGAAGAAAACCTTGGCAATACCATTCAGGACATAGGCATGGGCAAAGACTTCATGACTAAAACACCAAAAGCAATGCAACAAAAGCCAAAATTGACAAACGGGATCTAATTAAACTAAAGAGCTTCTGCATAGAAAAAAAAAAAAACTATCATCGGACTGAACAGGAAACCTACAGAATGGGAGAAAATTTTGGCTATCTATCCATCTGGCAAAGGTCTAATATCCAGAATCTACAAGGAACTTAAACATATTTACAAGAAAAAACAAACAACCCCATCAAAAAGTGGGTGATGGATATGAACAGACACTTCTCAAAAGAAGACATTTATGTGGCCAACAAACATATGAAAAAAAGCTCATCATCATGGGTCATTATAGAAATGCAAATCAAAACCACAATAAGATACCATCTCACGCCAGTTTGAATGGCAATCATTAAAAAGTCTGCAAACAGCAGATGTTGGCGAGGATGTGGAGAAATAGGAAGGCTTTTACATTGTTGATGGGAGTGTAAATTAGTTCAACCATTGTGGAAGGCAGTGTGGCAATTACCCAAGGATCTATAACCAGAAATACTATTTAACCCAGCAATCCCATTACTGGGTATATACCCAAAGGATTATAAATCATTCTACTATAAAGACACATGCATACGTAGGTTTATTGTGGCATTATTTAAAGTAGCAAAGACTTGGAACCAACACAAATGCCCATCAATAATAGACTGGATAAAGAAAATGTGGCACATATATACCATGGAATACTATGCAGCCATAAAAAAGAATGAGATCATGTCCTTTGTAGGGACATGGATGAAGCTGGGAACCATCATCCTCAGCAAACTATCACAGGAACAGAAAACCAGACACTACATGTTCTCACTCATAAGTGGGAGTTGAACAATGAGAACACATGGACACAGGGAGGGAACCTCACACACTGGGGCCTGTTGGGGAGTAGGTGGCAAGGGGAGGGAGAGCATTAGGACAAATAGCTAATGCATGCGGGGCTTAAAACCGAGATGACGTGTTGATCAGTGCAGCAAACCACCATGGCACATGTACACCTATGTAACAAACCTGCACATTCTGCATATGTATCCCTGAACTTAAAGTAAAGTATATTAAAAAAAAAAAAAAAAAAGGAAATCCAGGGGGAGATCATGTGTTCAGTTTTGGCCATGCTGAATTTGAGATATCTGAATATCTAAGAAAATATGTTTATTTGACATATTTTGGTATGTGGCCTCAGAGGAGAGGTATGTACTAGAGATACGAATTTGTAACACATCAGCATATAGAGGATAGTTGAAACTACTCCTATGGATGGGAGAGTGTGAAGTAGGAAAAAAGAGAACACAGAATTGAACTTTCTCAGAACTAATTTCCTGCATGTAGAAGCTAAACTATGAGACTAAGAAGGAGAAGCATAAAAGTAGAAAGAAATTCAAGGAAGCACTGAATTGCAGTTAGTGTATGAAAGAGTGCTGTTATTAAAAGAACTGTTTGTGAAAATAAGGGGCCCCATTTTTCTTGCCAGACCATTCCTCATGAGAAAAGCTATCCTGCAGAGAACTGCCCTCCAACACAAACATAGGTCATTATGAGATGGTATCAGCTGTCCAGTTCTCAAAATAGCGAAGGAGGACACACTTGGCTCAGCAGCCCACCTCCCTTCTCAGGGTTTCTTACACATTAAGAGAAGGAATTACTTTCTCCTGGGGATCTCCTGATGCTTTTGTTTTGTTACCCAAGTCCTCTATGTTCTGTGATCATTGCCCTTTACTTCAAAACATGCCTTTCCCATGTCCCTATTTGTGGGGAAGCTGTTGTGATAAAACGACTAAATGAAATAACTTAAACAATAATGTATTACTCCTCTAAGGTTATTTGCCTTAAAATAAGAATTTTCTTTTTCAGAATAGCCTCTTAATTTTAGTCATTTTTTATCCACTCAGCCTGTATGTTTTTCTTCCTGCTTTCATTTCTGTCTGCTAATCTACATATTTTTAAAGCTCAGCTTAAATGCCTCTTTTCTCTTCAAGTGAAATGCTTCTGTCCCTTCCTGGAAAATCTATAGGCATTTGTTTCAATCTTGATTATGACACATAACACACAACATACTTATTTGTGTGACTTATATCACTTGTTTGTCCATAATATCTTATGGTGCATATTCTGTCTTACTAATCTATTTCTCAATGAATTAATACGTAACTGGGGACACAGTGGTCTTACATTCAGTAATGGATTACTACTGTTGGAATATAAGGCAGTATAGCAAAATTTTCCAAGAAAACAATTGTATTTCCTCCCTTTTTTACATACTTATTATGATGTAGAACTTGGAAAAAATGTTCAGACCTTACATATTATTTTTATTCTTATAACATTTATATTAGTTAGAGTAGAGGAGTCTGTAATTTATGGTGGATTACTTATAAGATCAAATAGTTAACAAGTAGTGAACTAAGAGTAGAAAAAAATTCTTCTATTTCCAAATCTAGAACAACATCCTGCAGCTGGTACTCAAATTGTGCTACATGGGTCATTGTTGCCTCTCATAGGCATAGATTGACCCTGAGACAGAATAGAATTCACCACGCAAAGCACAAGTATTTCACACAGAGTTATAGGAAAATTACTGCTTTTCCAAGCAGCCATGGTCTTGACTCCTTACTAAAGAACCGAAACTTGATATAATACAAGGACAACTGAGAAAATGTTTTCAGAATTTCATATCATAGTAAAGAGCTCAAGAATGGCCTCTAAGAACCCACAAGGAGAGGCCCCCAGAAAATTCACGAGAATGTTTGCCCTCCAAGCTCAGTCTTGACTTTTTCATTTCCTTCTAACAGACCCAGTAGCTCTTCATTAAAGAGTGTTCTCAAAAAAGAGACCTTAGAAATTCAGAATCTTAAAATTTCAAATTTTCTCAAAATATACTATCCAATTTCTTACTAAAAACTGAAATCACATAGCAAACGTGAAAATCAGTGTGGCTAAAGCTCAATCAATAATAGCTAGCATGCAAGGTTATTAGATCCACATGAAAGATGGTTTCTTGTGAGAAAGTCACACAAAGTGTGTTCCTGATACTATTCTCTGCAGTCCAGTGGCATTTTAGTCTCTTTTTGCAGAATAAATACACTGTCCTTTATTTAATAAAAAATCGGCAAACCAGCAGAGGGCTATTCTGAATGACATAAAAATTACCCAAAATGAAAGAAGCTTCCTGATTCACATACTCAGTAGGCTGATTGTCACCCAAAGCATGGGACAGACAATTTTATTATTCCCTCCTTTGGAACTCCTCAGGTCATTACACTTCCATCTCCTACACAGTTAGTCTCATATCCAAAAAGCAAGACAGAAAAGTGTATCTCTAAGAGCAATGAAGCTATAGTTAAGCAATTAAAAATACTTACTCACTCACCTGTGATTGGAGATATTGAGCAGAGATTACCATTCAGACTCTGAGAGACTGATATGGGGCTGTTTTTAAGAATACAACGAAGTAACACAAAATAATGTTCCCTACAGAGTCTGTGCTGATAAACTTCTGAGTGATGGGTTTTCTAGGTGAGTGCCAAGACTCTACTCAGTCCCTGAAGGCCAGTGCATGGGACTGGAGTGAGTAAGGAAAATGCCCTTTGGATTAAGAAGATCCCCACATCTTATGGGAATATTTCAAGAGCCTCGGAGACACACGTTGGGGATCTTCAAGCACAAGTCCTGAGACTCACTACTTCTGGTTCCTGCTTCAACCCCTGAGCATCTATTTGTCTTCTAGTGGCTCTGTTGCCATCATAATTATGCTTCAGAAAGTGTCCTGTGGAGTCCGACCTGCTCCAGGTGGACCACTACCTCCTGGCCCACATCTGTCTAGTGAGAAACAACCCACATGCTTCCCCTATTAACACAGGAAATGCAGTTCTCTAGATTTTGCTTCTTGGCCATGTAAGAAATATCAGTCTTTGGACTCCAAAATTCCAGATGTAGAAATCAAGCTCTCTAACTGGTTTTTCTCTCAGCTTAAATTAGGAGAAAGCATCCTCATTTCCTCCTGGAGGTGGGGGAAGCTTACATTGCACACTACTTCTCACTGAAGAAATATTCTTCAGCCACTGAAGACTGATTAGTCCTCCAAATATCTATTCCTTTGCATGTTATGTGTTCTTGAAGATGTATCAAAAACTCACTAACGAATATACAGTATCCATATATTTTGTGATAGATTAAATATTAATTTTGAGCATGACTTGTAAATTAAAAGTATAATTGCTTGATTAATTTTGATCCTATAATTATTTAAGAATTGAGGCAGCTAAGTATGCCACTATCACATAAAAACAGAATTTCTGAATCCTTTGACCTCTAATGATTATATTGCCTGCCCTTTAAAATTAAGAATTTGGATTAAAGAAGAGTTATTTCTCCCAGATTCATATGGTTCTTAATCATCACCTATGGCTTAAAATCAAATCTCAATTCTCAACAAATTAATTACCTACTAGGCATTATCCAATTTCATCACTTGCTAAATTCTTACCGGCTGACTTGGGTACACACAGCAAGAGAGTTATCATCTGAAGATATCTATGAGTGGTTATTTCACTCCAAAAACAGACGATAATAAATTTTGCATTATTCATTTATTGTATCTAACATTCATTACCAATAAGTCTTTTTAAATTTTTTTATTTTATATTTATTTTTAGTTTTTACTTTTTTAAAAAAATTCAACTTCTATTTTAGACATAGTGGATATATGTGCAGATTTGTTACATGGGAATATTGCATGATGTTCAAATTTGGAGTATGGATCTCACCACCCTGGTAATGAGCCTAGTACCTGGCTTGATAGGCAGTTTTTTAACCCATCCTCCCCCATCCCTGAAGCCTCTGGTAGTCCACAGTGTCTATTGTTCCCATACCTATGTTCATGTGTGCTCAATGCTTAACTCCCACTTATAAGTTACAACATGCAGTATTTGGTTTTCTGTTCCTGTGTTAACTTGCTTAGAATTATGCCCTCCAGCTCCATCCATGTTGCTGCAAAGGACATTATTTTATTCTGTTTTTATGGCTGCATAGTATTCCATGGTGCATATGTAACACATTTTCTTTATCCAGTCTGTCATTCCACATCTTTGCTATTGTGAGCAGCGCAACAATGAACATGTGAGTGTATGTATCCTATTGGTAGAATGATTTATTTTATTTTGATATATACCCATTAATGAGATTGCTGTATTGAATAGTAGTTCTGTTTTAAATTATTTGAGAAATCTCCAGACTGCTTTTCACAGTTGCTGGACTAATCCACATTCCCACCAACAGCATATAAGCATTCCCTTTTCTCTGCAGCTTTGATAGCATCTGTTGTTTTTTGACTTTTTAAATAGTCATTCTGACTGGTGTGAGATAATATCTCACTGCAGTTTTGATTTGCATTTCCCTGATAATTAGTGATGCTGATAATTTTTTCGTATGTTTGTTAGCCACATGTATGTCTTCTTTTGAGAGTGTTTTTTCATGTCCTTTGCCCATTTATTAATGGGATTATTGGCTTTCTGCTTGTTGACTTGTTTAAGTTCCCTATAGATTCTGGATATTAGGCCTTTGTCAGATGCATTGTTTGTGAATATCTTCTCCCTTTCTGTAGATAGTGTGTTTGCTCTGTTGATAGTTTCTTTTGCTGTGCAGAAGCTCTTTAGTTTAATCAGGTCTCACTTGTCTATTTTTGTTTTTGTTGCCATTGCTTTTGGTGACTTAGCCAAAAATCTTTTGCCAAAGCCGATGTTGAGAAGAGTATTTCCTAGGTTATCTTCCATGATTTCTATAATTTGAGGTCTTACATTTAAATCTTTAATCAATTTTGAGTTAACTTTTGTATAGGGTAAAAGGTAGGTATCCAGCTTCAATCTTCTGTATATGACAAGGAAGTTATCCCCGCACCATTTATTAAATAGGGAATCATTTCCCCGTAGCTTGTTTTCTTCTTATAAATCTAGGAGTTTGGGGTGTCTTTGCTTTTTATGATGTATAATAAGGGATTTACCAATAATATGTGCTCTCTAACATTAAATCAGCTGTTTTTTCCAGTGAATAAATTGAGATTAAATGAGTGTACGTGACTATAAATGGCCATAACAAAAAAGAAATAGATAGGGTAGAGACAAAAAGGAAAAAAAATTTCACTTCCTTTTTAAAGATGATCTATTCAGAATAATAAAAATGAGGTGAAAATAGGAAAATATTATTAAGAGCAAAATAATAGTAGAATCAACTCTTCTATAGAGATATACTCATAGAACAGAGTAGGAAAACAGGGACATCATACACTGAAATATTTGCTCTGTTTGTTTCTACAAAAAAAGGAGAAAAAAAGTTAACAAAGTGTGAATTTAAGATAAGGCCTGGAGTGCTGGCTCACACCTGTAATCCTATCACTTTGGGAGGCAGAGGCAGGAAGATCCCTTGAGCCCAGGAGTTCAAGACCAGCCTGGGAAACATAGGGCGACTCTGTCTCAATTTAAGAAAAAAAAAATATAAGCATCAACCCTGAACAGTATTGCCAGCTACATATGTTGTACCTCGATCAGGAGTGACTACATTAGTGCCTGTGATTTAGATTATATCACACTAATGTTATTGATACTAGAAAGTAGTCGTGTGTACCCACAACAGATAGGAAGATCTACATTCCGCAACCTCAAAAATAATGATTTTTGTGTTTCATTACTTGCCATAATAAAGTAACGAGATTTTCTCTCCTGATTAAACATCTAAAAAATGGAATAAAATATATAAAGCAATGATTTTAATACACTGTACAAGACAGGGTTGGGTATGTCCCATGACCCATCAGCCTGATTGGAACAGCTTGTAATAGACAAGGACTTAGGTGGAGTCCTGAGAAGGATATTACCTTAGTAGTGGGGGCTAAATTAATCTCAGAATAAACAATGTTCTGGATCTACCTTAACAAAAAAAAAAGTATGCCTCAAAATAAGCATAATAATTTAGGGGAAATACAGACATAAAAAGAGAGAGATTTTTTTAAAGACCCACATAGAACTTGTTTAAATAAAAAATACAAAATATAAAGTGAAAAATGCAGTGCATGGAATAAACAGTAGATTAATTACTGCAGAAGAAAAAATCAAGGAACTTGGAGATATAGATATAAAAACAATCCAAAATGAAGCACAGAGAAATCTTTTTAATAAAATGGACAAAGTATCAATGACCTATGTCATAATTTCAAGCAGTCTAACATATGTGCAAGTGGAGTACTAAAGAAGTGTTTGATTAAAAACATTGAAGAAGTAATGACTGAGTTTTTCCAAATTTGATAAAATATATAATCTATAGATCCAAGAAGCTCAATAAAAATTAAATAGAATAAATATTAGAAAACTTTACAATGAACATCATAATCTATTTGCTAAAAAAGTCATAAAGAAAAATCTTAAAATCAGCAAGAGAAAAATCAACACAGTTATTACAAAGGAATAAAGATAAGAATGGCAGCATGCATCCCACCAGAAATTATGTGAGACAGGTAATGGAGCAACAGCTTTAAAGCACATAAACAAAAGTCTGGCAATTTAAAATTTTATATACAGAGAAAACATCTCTTAAAAATAAGGGCAAAGTACTTTTTCATGCCAACAAAAGCTGAAGTAAATTATTACCAGCAGAACTTTACTACAAGAAATAGTTAAGGAAAGTCTTTAGACAACAACAACAAAAAAATGATACGAGATGAAAATCAGTGTCTCCATGAAGGGACCAAAAGTGCCAGAAATTATAAATATGTGTTTAAGTGTAAAAGACATTTTTATTATTTTTAATTACCTTAAAAATAATAGAATTTTTCAAAAAAAACAGAATTGCAGTATCTTGGATACTAATAACATAAGTAAAAGTAAAATGTTTGACATTAAAATCACAAAGCATGAGCAGGGAGATGGAAGTACAGTATGGCATGACTCTAGCAATACATCTTAAATGGTGTAATATTACGTGAAGAAATATTTTGTGAATTTAAAATGTACATTGTAAACCCCAGAGTAACCACAAAAATATAAAATAAAAAGGTATAAATAAAAGGACAATAGTGAAAATATAATGAAATCATAAAAATATTCCCATAAAAAACAGTAAATGAAAGAAGAAGCAATAACGGACAAATAGGACAAATGAAAGGCAAACAGTTGGAGGACAAATTTAAATTTAATTCTATCAAAAATTTAGTTGGAGGATAAATTTAAATTTAATTCTATCAAAAATTTATCAAATTTAAATTGTGCAAACACTCCAACTAAAACAAAGAGCTTGTCACATTGGCTTAATGGGTATGAAAATGCAGTTAGATAGAACGAAGAACTTCTAGTATTCAACAGTAAACTAATGCAGGGACAGTAATGTAGGTTTAGCTTGATTGTGGTAGTCTCTTCACAATGTATACATATACTAAAGCATCATGTTGTGAAGCCTAAATATATGCAATTTTTATTTGTTAATTATACTTCAATAAGCTGGGGAAAAACAAGATATTTTCAATGGCTAGAAAAATCTCTCCCTAAAATTAAATACCCATTAAAAATTCTCTTCAAGAATTAAGATTAACAAAAATGATATTCTAGATAAAAACTGTTGTGAGAAAAATTATCATCAGTACATTCCTGCTGAAGGAAACACAAAAGGAAAAAAAATAGGCAAAAATAAAGATTATCTCATATGGAATTTCAGTAAGATACTTCTATTACTTGGAAAATTCCAAAGGTTTTTGTCCTAGGAGAAATGCCACATTCTTTTTTACACAGCAGATTCCTACTCTAACCCTCCCCATACTTCCTACCTCCTTAGTTCTCCTTGCCACCGAATTATCCTGACATATGTACTTACGCGTTTGGTTATTTGGGGCCTCCATCACATTAAACTTTATGTTTGATGACATTATGGAATTTGTTTTGCTTGCTCCTGTGTTTCTTGAACCTACTACACTGCCTAATATAATATGTGCTCAAAATTTTTGAAAGAAAAATATAAACCAGGTAAACAAATCATTTCTTACAGTGAAGTGATGGAAATCAGTCTTAATAGAAATCAGATATCCCTCATTAGTCCTAGTGGTGTTGCTGCCAGTCTTTAAACAACTTCCTACCAAAGATTTTCTTCAGAGCCATCATCACTTCTTTGTTCCTAAGGGTGTAGATTAGTGGATTCAGTACAGGGGTGACGGCGCTATACATGATGGCCATTATCCGGTCCTGAATCATGGAGGTGGCTGAAGCAGGACGAATATATGTGAAGCCCACAGGTCCATAGAAAAGACATACCACCATAAAATGGGAGGCACAAGTGGACAGAGCCTTGTGGAGTATTCTGCAGGACCTGTTCTTAAACAGAAGGAAGCCAATTACATAGAAGCAGGAGAGAAGAGTCAGAAAGAAAGCTCCCATGGATATGCTGCCTGTGACAATGGAAAGAAGCCATTGATTGAGTAATGTGTCACTACAGGCCAATTCTAAGAGCGGCTTGACATCGTAGAAGAAGTGATTGAGTTTCTGAGAGCCACAAAAACTCAGGTGTGCAGTCATGACAGAATGCATCAGAGCGTAAAAGAAGCTGATGAGCCAGGCCGCAGCTGCCAACAGAATACACACCTGGGGGTTCATGATGACAGTGTAGCGAAGAGGATTGCAGATGGCAACAAAACGGTCAAAGGCCATGATAGCCAGTAAAATGGCCTCTGTGCTTCCCAAAAAGTGGAAGAAGTGTAGCTGGATGATACAGCCTAGAAAAGATATAGCCCTGCGACTGCACACGAGGTTTACGAGCAGCTTGGGCAGTGTCACTGAAGAATAAGAAATATCCAGACAAGAAAGGTTTCCCAGAAAAAAATACATAGGGGAGTGGAGTTGTGGTTCCAAAACAACCATCACCAATATAGATCCATTTCCAATCAAGTTTATCAGGTAAATGATTAAGAAAATCCCAAAGAAGAAAGGCTGCAGCTCCTGAACACCAGTCAGGCCAAGTAGAAGAAACTCATTCATTGTAGTGACATTCTCCATTGCTCTGGGAAGCAAATTTAACAATAACAGAATTAATTTTTCTGAATTTTTAATTTTACACTGTGAGGATTAAATAAAGCAAGTTTACTATTTGGAGGAACCTAGGGGTGAGCAACAGTGTGAAGAATAGTTACGAACAGTAAAACTAAATTTATGTACAACAAAATTGAGGAAGACTAATATACCTGATAAATTCTGAGCTGTTAAAATGGCACTAGACTAATAAAAGCATTATATTATGAACAAATCAGATATAGATAAAGGGCATTTGTTTTCAAAACTAGGAAGTGTAAGATTTGATGGACATAATCATAACCTCATGTATGGCATTAGAATTATGTATTACAAAAATTTTAAACATACAAACAGGGAATAGTTTTTCAACTTATGATTCTAGGTTCTGGCAAAAATTCAGATGTAGCTCAGTGGGGATTTCATCACTTCTTCTAAGATACATAAAAGCCACAAGAGAGTAACACATGTCTTCTGACAACCCAAACTTTCAGTGAAAGTAAGAAACATAAACACCCACAAACCAAATGTTGTATGAGTAGAGGAGAAAAAAACAGCAAAATTAGCATCATTAGTCACAAGACTGTGTCATAGCAATGAGGCAGTGGATGTAGTTGGGAAAAACTTGAAATAGTTAGAGGTCCCATTAGTAGAAGAACTTCGAAAACACCCCCAATTTTTCAATCCAAAAGGGGAGTACCTCCCAGGGAGTGAGAATTTCTGTGGGGCAGGGGATAGAAAAAGGCACAGTCTAAGCACTGAAGGTGATGGAGAGAAGAGGTATAGTAAATATATGAAGAACAAAGGAAGCTTGTCATTTGTAAGTAATTAATAATAATAATAATAATAACAATAATAATAATCACCACCTTATCAACAGAAGAGGGAGCCCTTGCACTGAGGAATTGGAAAGGCTAACTAGGATACTCCTCCCACCCATGCCTACTAAGATTCTTCTGCTAATAATTGGTCCACAATATCATAAGTTCTCCAGTGTAAGTTCTCCATAAAATAACTCTAAAAATAGACAGAAATAAAGACATAGTTAAAACCACAATCACAATGAGAAGATTTAACAAGTTTCTCTCTATACCTGACAGAAGAATCAGCCAAAAAGTCAGTAAGGATATAAACATCTGAACAACATAATTTACAAATTTGATTAACATATAAAGAACACTGAACCCAACCAAAAAATAATTCACATTATTTTCAAGTATATCTTGTACATATTTACAAAATCAAGCATGAGTTGAGTATTACCAAAAGGCTTCAAAAGGTTTCAAAAGGTTGAGCTATTCAAAGAATGTCCCTTGACTACACTGGAATTAAAAAACAATAAGAAAAATGCATCTAGAAACTCACCAATTGCTTCATATTATGTAATACACACAAATAATTCATAAAGAAAAAATTCAAATAAAATTAGAAAAAAATTGAAATGAACAATGATGAAGATGAGATATATCAAAACTTTTGGCATATAGCTAAAGAAATAAATAGAGGGAAATTGTCAGCCTTAAATGCATATGTTAGAAAAAAAGAAATATTGAAAAACCAATAACCTAAACTTTCATTTCAAACAGCTAAATGAATGAATGCATGAATGAATGAACAAATAATCCAACAACTCAAACCTAAACAAAGTAGAAGGGAAATAGCTAAAATAATAACAAGAATAATTGAAATAGAAAACAAAAGTTCAATAAAGAAAAGTCAACAAAGTCAAAATTTAGTCATTTGAAAAGATTAATGAAAGTTATCAACTCAGTAAAATTGTTAAAAGAGAGAGAGAATACAAATTTTAAGCTAGTATCACTACAGATACTATCAACGTCAAACATTGTAAAAGGTCGTTATGAACGACTTCATGCCCAAGAATTTGGCAATTTAAATAAAATTTTAAAATTACTTAAACCAAAAGTAACTTACCAAAATTGACAGTAGAAGAAAGACAATTTCAATAGTTTGATATTTATATAGGAAAGTGTAGTTCTTATTCAAAATTTTTCCAGAAAGGAAACACCAAGTCCAGATTTTACTGGTGAATTCTACCAAATAATTAAGGAAGAAATAATAACTTACACAAATACTTTCAAAACAATGAAAAAGGAGCACTTCTATATTTCTTTTATAAGGTTAGCACAACTTTGATACCAACACTTTAAAAAGAACTCAACAGAGGCCAGGCGCGGTGGCTCACGGCTGTAATCCCAGCACTTTGGGAGGCCGAGGAGGGCGGATCACGAGGTCAGGAGATCTAGACCATCCTGGCTAACATGGTGAAACACCGTCTCTACTAAAAATACAAAAAATTAGCCTGGTGTGGTGGCAGGAGCCTGTAGTCCCAGCTACCCGGGAGGCTGAGGCAGGAGAATGGCTTGAACCCGGGAGGAGGAGCTTGCAGTGAGCTGAGGTCGCGCCACTGCACTCCAGCCTGGGCGATAGAGCGAGACTCCATCTCAAAAAAAAAAAAAAAACAAAAAAACTTAACAGAAAGGAACTGCAGACTAACCTGTCTTGTGACTATAGATGCAAAAATCTTGAAAAAATGAATAAAAACAAGCAATATCTACATCGCAACCAAATAAAATTTATTTCAAGATGTAAGGGTAATTTAACATTAAAAAATAAATTAATACAATAGCCATATTAGAGAAAGAAAACAAGAAACACCACAGATGCAGTAAAAGCATTTGATTATATTTAGCACCCACTCATGATTTAATAAAATAATCCTTAGCAAACTAGGGATACAAGGGAAATTAGTTTATTTGATAAAATTAATAAAAAATACCATAAGAAAAGATCATACCTAATGAAGAAACATGAAAAGTTTCAGATCAGGAATGAGACAAGGATTTCTCCTATCATCACTTTTTTGAACATTGTCCTAGAGGTTCTAGCCAGTGTCATAAAGCAAGAAAAAAATAAATAAAATACTTTAGAATTAGAAAGGAAAAAATAAAACTCATTTTCATAGATGATATGCCTGTATGGTTAGAAGATTTCTGAGATATGAGGACATTAAACAAGAATTAAATATATTTTATATGCTAACCACAATCAAATGAAAATAAAATGTCCAATGATATTTTCAATAGCATCAGAAACAATAAATGTATAGAAATAAAACTAAACAAAAATATATAAGATCTCTATCCTAAAAACTACAAAACATTATTCTGAGGAAATAAAGAATATCTAAATAAATAGAGGAATATGGTATATTCATGGGCTGAAAGATATACTGTAATGAAGATGTCTACTCTCCTAAAAGTAATCTGAAAAGTCAACGCAATCCCAGTACAAGTCCCTGATTTTTAAAATATAAAATTGTCAAGCTGATTTTAAAAGTTACATAGAAATGCAAAGGAATGGGGAACCTGAAAACCCCCTGGGGCTGGGTTCTCACCTGCATCTGGAGACCTTCCTGAGCCCCCAGCAACAAAACCACAATGCAGTGCCACTGCACAATAACTAGAACAGTTAAAATAAAAAAGTGATGGAAAACACCAAGTGTCAACAAGGATGTAGAGCACCCTGAGCACTCATATACTCCTCCAGGGAGTTTAATCAGCATAGTGATTTTGGAAAACAATCTGGCAGTATCCTCAAGCTAAACATACGCATATATGAATAAGCCAGAAATTCCATTCCTAGGTATATAGCCAATAGAAGGTGCACATACCAAAATATATAAAAATGTTCATAGCAGCAATATTTTTTATCAAAAACTGACAACTATATAAATGTCCATCAACAAAATGAAACATTGTGAAGGAGTCAAAATGAACTACAGCTATATTAAGTAATATGGATGAAGCTGTTTCTTCATGTGGGTGTGTTGGTTATACAGATATGTCATTTTGTGAAAATTTATTGAGACTCAGGATTTATCCACTTTTCTGTATGTGTGTTGTACTTTATATGTCATATAAACTTTTACAGAAAAAAAGAGAATAAGGGAGGAAACAATAATCTTGGATTTGGAAATGATTTTCTAAATATCATAGAAAAACCTGAAGCAATAAAAGATTACCAAATTTGACTACATAGGCATCGAAAATGTCTGCATGACAAAAATCCTACAAATAAAAGATCAAAACGCATCCAGGAATAAAATCACAAAGCAAATTGTAGACCATGTGCTAACATTCTTAATATATAAATTATTTAATAAACCTAAAAGACACAGACCAATTTTTTTTAAAGAGAGAAACATACAGACAATTTATAGAAAAGGAAATATGAATAGATCTTAAAGATAGGAAAAGATGCTCAACCTCATTAAAAATAAGAAAAATGCAAATTGAAATATGACATGCAGGCAAGCGCTACAGCAGGCTGCCGTGAGCACTGTAAAGAGCACCAACGCGCTGCACCTCGACTCCCACCCCACTTAGTCACAAGCACATGCCCATCTGCTCAAGGCATGTTCTGCCGCTGCCCAGCTCAGGTCTAGGCACCCAGCAAGTTTGAGATTTTTCGAAATAAAATAACTTAAAAACAGTGATTTTGACTTCCGGATAAGATGGTATATACAGGTTTCTCCCATCTCCCTTCCCATTAAGTACAACTACAAACCGTAGAAACAATACAAGAGGTAACCAAAAAAGAATTCTCAAATGTGGGAAGGTGAACTGCTTTGGGATTCCAGAACTGTAGGAACCACACAGCAGCAGGGCTGTCCCTTCACCCAACTAAAGAAGGCAATTAGTTTATTTGACAAAAAATGTTTGCCTCTTCCAACACGCCATCCCACAACAAAAGGCAGCCTAGGTAGGTTTTTTCCTGCCTCCTATCAAAAGGTAGTTCCTCCAACAACACAGCACTTGAGTAAGGGGGGCCCATCAGGAATTCTACTAACCCAGAGAAGTACTCTACTCAGCTCCTCTCTCCCTGCTGTCTGGCATTCTCTTCCCCTAAAGAGAGACAACAGGGCAGTCAGGTGGCATCTGGAGAAGGACCCCACCATAACAAGCATCCTGGCCCTCTGGCCCTGCAGGCCTGAGACTTCCTTCTGCCACCCACAGACACCAGAGTGAGAAAGGGGGAAAGAGGGCACCAGCAAGAAATATTCCAATTTGACAATCATCCAGCAAGTAGCAGTCTCTGTCCGGCACAAGCAGGCAATCCCGCCACAAGCACCCCGACAGGGAAGCCTCTTTGTCCTCATAGTCTTGATATTCTCTCCACCGCACAAGGACACCAGAAGGCTTAGCCTAAGGAAATCCCTTCTTCTGCCTTCTCAGGCAGTACCAGCAGAGAACAATGGAAACCCCAGTAGTACCAAATAAAACTAGAACACAAAAATAACAGCTAAAAGTCTCTTAAAAAATTGCCATTGGATGCACAGCCTACAAAATTAGGTCAGGACCTGTGTGCTAGGTCTAAACAGAGTGACTATCTGCTAAAATTAAAGATTTAAACAGGACCTAAATTCCAGTTTATAGTTCTGTAATAGCCAAAATGTCCAAGATACAATATTTTAAAACTCTACCTGTTATAAATTATAGAACTGGAAAGTTCAGTAACAGAAATAAAATCTCACTGAATGGGCTCATTAGTTAAGTGGAGATGACCAAGGATGAAATCAATGAGCATGAGGACAGATCAACAAAATGTAGCCTATCTGAACAATGGGAGAAAACAGACTGAGAAACAATGCAAAGAACCTCGGGGACCTATGGGACAATAACAAGAGATTCAACTTTCATATCATCAGAGCTCCAGAAGAAGAGGAGAAAGAAAATAATGCCAAAGGGTATTTAAATAAATAATAGTTTAAAACTTCCCAAATCTGTTGAAAACATAAGCATATACAGGTTGAAGAAGCTGAATAAACCCCTTGCAGGATTAATCTAAAGAAATCCAAGCCAAGAAACATCATAATTTGATTAACATTACATATACTATTATACTATATAGCATGTGTATATATAAACACACAAACATAAATATATAGAGTAATATGCAGTTCAACTCCAAGGACAGTACGAAACAAAAAAAATACATTCCAATATCTCTCATGAATATAGACAAAATATCCTCAATCAATTATTAGAAAATAGAATGCAATATGTAGAAAGAATTTACATAGGCCAAGTGGATTTATTTCAGGTGTACAAGACTACATAGACATTTGAAAATCAGTAAATGTAATCTATCATATAAATAGAATAGAGAAGAAAAATTATATGATCGTATTAATTGAGGCAAAAAACAAATTTGATAAAATCCAACACCCATTTATGATAAAAACTCTCAGCAAGCTAGGAATAGAGAGAAATTGTGTCAACTCAATAAAGATCATCCATAAAAATCTTCCAGGTAAATGCTTTCCTTCTAAGATTAGGAATAAAGCGTGGATGTCTGCTCTCACCACTTGTAGTAGGCAAGAAAAAGAAATAAATGACACATATATTGAAAAGTAATAAATACAAATGTACTTATTTTCAGATGTCATTATCTATGTAGAAAACTCCCTGGATTCCACATAAAAATTCCTATAGCTAATACATGAGTTCAGCAAAGTGACAGGATACAAGATTAACACAAAAAATTAAATATTTTTAATAAACTATGAATATGTGAAAACCAAAATTAAAACACAATTTAATTTATAATCTCTCAAAATATGGAAATATCTGGCTGTAAATCTAAAAAAAATGTTTAGGAGTTGTATGCTAAAAACTTCAAGCACAGATGAAAGAAATAACAAAAGATTTACATAAAGTTAGAGACATATTATATTCATGGATTGTAAGATTTAACATAGTAAAGATGTCAATCCTCTCCAAATTGATATACAGGTTTAACACAATTCTTATCAAAATCCCAGAAATATTTCTTAGTAGACATAGATAGGATTATTCTAAAATGTGTATGTAAAGGCAAAGGAAATTGAATAGCTAACACAATTTGGAAAAAGAAGAATAAAAGTGGAAAAATCAAATTACTCAATGTTAAAGCTTATTATTTAACTATAGTTATCAGGTTTTGTATGGTATTAACACAAGTGATAGTGAAACAGATCAATGGAACAGAATAGAGAACCCATAAATCAGCCCACACAAATATGTCCAACTGATTTTTTATGAATGTGCAGAGTAACTCAATGGAAGCAAGACTGTCTTTTCAACAACTAGTTCTGAAATAATTGGACATCCATAATAGAAAAGAAAAAACAAACTAAATTCAAATTTCACCTCATATACAAAAATTAACACAAAATAGATCATGGACTTATATGTAAAATGTAAAGCTACATATCTTCTAGAAAAAATAGAAAACAGTATTCAGGGTCTAGAGCTAGGCAAGGAGTCCTTAGATTTTCCACCAAAAGCATGACACATTAAAGGAAAAATTTTAGTTTGACCTAACCAGAAAAAAAAAAAAGCTCTGCCAAAAGACTCTATTAAGAAAATGGAAAGACAAGCTGAAGACTGAAAAAAAGAAATACTGTTTCAAATCACATATCTGAGAGAACTCTCAAAACTTAATAGTATTCTTAAAAGTCCAAAAACATGGGCAAAAACTAGGAAAAGACATACAAACATAAACAGAAAATGATATATAAATGGCAAATTAACACAGGAAAAGGTGTTCAAAATCATTTTCATCAGCACAATGCAAATTAAAACCAGTAAAATGCTACAACACATCTATCAAAATAGATAAAATAAAAATAGTGACAACACCAAATGCTAGGGAGGATACAGAAAGACTGGATCATGAATATAAAACTGGTCAGGATATAAAATGGTACAACTGCTCTGGAGAGAGTATAGTCGTTTCTTACAAAATTAAACATACACTTACTATATGACCCAACAATTGCACGCTTTGGAATTTATGTCAGTACAATAAAAACATGTTCACACAAAAACTTGTATGTGAATGTTCATAGACTATTTGTAATAGCCAAAAACTGGAAATACCCCAAATGTCCTGCAATGGAGAAATGCTTACACAAACTGTGGTATATCCATACCATGGAATGCTACTTAGCAATAAAAAGAAAACAACAATTTGGTAAACTCTCCAGGAAATTACGCTTAATTTTTTAAAAAGTGAAATCCAAAAAATTATATACTGTATGATTCCATTTATATAACATTTTTGAAATAATATTTTAGAAATGGGGAAAAGATTGGTAGTTACAGTTGGAGAATGAAGTTGGAGAAGGAGCAGAAGAGAGGTGTGTGTGGTTATGAAAGGATACCAAGAAAGATCCTTGTGGTGGAGGAACTATTCTGTATTTTGACTATGATGGCAGATACAGGAACATGAGATAAAACTGTGTAGAATTAAACTCAGATACACAAAACAAATGAATACAAATAAAACTGGGGCTATCATTAAGATTCATGGGTTGTATCAGCATCAATATCCTGATTGTGAAACTGTGCTGCAATTTGTTACCATGGGGAGGAACCATGTAAAGGGAAAACAGCATCTTTGTGTATTTTTTCTTACAACTGCATATTGTAATCATACATAAGATTTTAATTAAATGGCAAATCATATTTGTACAAAGATCAAAATACTTAATAAATTATATGTGTTTGAGAATGGCTAAATAGGAATTTCTGATGATAATTTGTACTAGTTATATGCTGGGTAATTTTTTCAATAGCTCTCAAAGTTGAAAATTGTGAATCACATACTTTGTGTTATAATTTACCTGTAGATATTATTCAATGTGTGGAAATCATTATTATATACCATAATATTTATTCGAGTATTTTAAAAGCAAAAATTAGACAGAACCCTAAGAGCCAAAGTAGGGGATGAGGTGAATTATTACACCTATGAGAGAGAATAATATGCAGCTTTAAAATATATATATGTACATATATATACACACACAAAGAAAATAGCCAGGTGGATAGATACGGAAAGGTGCACAAATCATATATATGCAAATTTTTACATATGTACCTATATACATATAAATTATATATGTTATGAATGCCAAGGTGACTTGTTAAATGATATAATCAAGATGCAGCACAATGTGAGTAGTATGCTAAAACTTCTGTTTAACATTTTTTTCTATACGCACATGTACTTCTGAATGGACATAAAAGAAACTGATAACTGTTGTAGTCTCTAGGAAGAGAAACTGGCTGTCAAGGAAACAAAGGCAGAAGAAATACTCTTTTTAGTATATTTTGAATTTTGTACCATGTTCATATATTATGTACTCAAAAAAAGAAATTATTTTCTTTAAAAATAAGCATGGCAATACTATGCACAAATATATAGTTGTGAAAAAGAGCAGTGAACTGAGCATCTAAAATATTTAGGCCCAGTAATATTATGTATAAATGGCAGTGTATATGACAAGTACAGTCTGTTTTATAGATGGCAAAGTGGAGACTGTGACTTACTTTGGACTAGAAAGTCGTTACTTCGGCATCTGTTTTACAGATTATACTTGTCATACGCACTTCTCTGTTTTATCAAATCAAAGGCACTATTCCATTTATTCTTTTTTTTTTTTCAAGACTGTCTTGCTCTGTCACCTAGGCTGGAGTACAGTCATGCAATCTTGGCTCACTGCAACCTCTGTCTCCTGGGTTCAAGCAATTCTCAGGCTTCAACCTCCCAGATAGCTGGGATTACAGGTACGCATCACCACACTGTGCTAATTTTTGTATTTTAGTAGAGACAAGGTTTTACCACGTTGGCCAGCCTGGTTTCTAGTGCCTGATCTCAAGTGATCTGCCCACCTCGGCCTCCCAAAGTGTTAGGATCACAGGTGTAAGCCACCATGCCTGGCCACCATTTATTCTTATAGGTAGAATTTTGCATGTCTGTCTACTCATTGGAATATCAGATTATTAGAGGTGAAAGAAACTGAAAGTATCTTATTCTTCATATTCTTACAGTTCCTATACCATGTAGAAAAACAGAACAATGGTGTAGAAAAATAATCTATAGAATAAAATTGGTCACTTATTCTGGCTATCCATGTACTCTTACAAATGACTGTTATTCTAATATAATAATTAGTAAATATGAAATAAATTCCAAGAAAAAATGAACATAATATTGAAAGAAAGACAAATAGTAATATCTTTAAGTGACTTTGAACTAGTGACTTTGATATCATAACTACATGTCTTCCAAGTATAAAATTTATTCTGGCTATATAGCTTCTAAGAGGGAGATCTCTTGTCTAACCCCCACTCTGAGTTCTAGACTTACCTAATTTCATATTTGACTCTCCACTTGAATTCACACAAAAGCTTGTATTCATATATTCATAGAATCTTTATTCATAACAACCCAAAACTGGAAGTAGCCCAAATGTCCTTCAATGGAGGGATGGTTGAATTCTTTACTGAATTACAAAAATCAACACGTCAAACAGAACGCATCCTCTTTCCAAGCATGCTCTCACAGTGTTTCAACGTAGTGAACAGAATAAAAACCATCTAGTTGTTCAAACCAGAAATGTGAGAACCACATTGATTTCTCCTTCGCTTCAATCCACTCTCTTTAAGTCAGTCATCAAGTCTCTGAAACATCCCTCAAATTCACGTCTCTTTATCCACACTGCCGCTATCCTGGCCCAAGTCATGATTGCCTTTAAACTTAACTACTTCAAAGCAGCCCTACAGTTCTTTTCTTCCCCTACTCTCAAGCCATCTTCATAGTGTAACCAGAATGATTGTTTAAAGGCCTGCGTTACAGTATAAATTTCTATGTGAAACATTTCAGTACCTTCCAACTGGACAAGCTTACAAACCCTCCATGAATGTCTGTGGCTTATCTCTTCAGTCTCACCTTTTATATTACTTGGATGTGATCCTACTGGATATCTTCCAATTCCTCAAATATATCAAGGTGTCCCTTGACAGGGACTTCATTCATGCTTGTCCTCCCTGGATCACTCTTTACTTCCCCTGTCCCTTTTTTTTTTTTTTTTTTTTTTTTTTTTTTTTTTTTTTTGAGACAGAGTCTTGCTCTATCGCCCAGGCTGGAGTGCAGTGGTGCGATCTTGGCTCACTGCAAGCTCCGCCTTCCCGGTTCACGCCATTCTCCTGCCTCAGCCTCCTGAGTAGCTGGGACTACAGGCGCCCACCACCACGCCCGGCTAATTTTTTGTGTTTTTAGTAGAGACGGGGTTTCACCATGTTAGCCAGGATGGTCTCGATCTCCTGACCTTGTGATCTGCCCTTCTCGGCCTCCCAAAGTGCCGGGATTACAGGCGTAAGCCACTGTGCCTGGCCTCCCGTCCTTTAATGTAAGAAAATATCTATTTATCCTTTGGGTTTCAGCCTATCTCAAATTAAGTTAGACCCTATTATGATACCCTTCTATAGGTTTCTGTACTTCCATTTGTCTGATAATCATTATTATCCTTCTTCAGCTACTTTCTCCTATCATTAAACTCTAGATTTATTACTCATTACTCACTAGTCATTAATAACTTCAACCCTTCATGATCTCAGTAATAAGCATCCTAGACTCCAACTACCACCAGGTAAATTCATAATTTACTCTCTGCAATACCACAAATCCTATAATCTTTATCCCCTAAATTACAGTTATTCTATTTCATGTTCTTTACTACTCTCATGTACTCACACTCCTCCTTACTCATCTTAAGTTCCATATGCATATTTATAGTCACTTTATAGTAGCATATATCCTTACATCCCTTGACCAATTTGTGCTTCATGTCTTTACCTGGAAAAAGTCAAACCACTCTCTACTTACTCCGCATCTAAACATTTGCAGCTGAACACGATTGGAGGAAAATGCACCTGTGCTCACTTGCCTAGATCTAAATTCATTAATACTCAACTGCATTGAAATCTTGGGAATGCCATTGACTCAGCCACCAGGCCCACCCACCTGATGACCCAAGCACTAAGCCATCCTGCCCAGGACTCCAGGAACAAACCTACTTCCAGACCACGCCATATGACCTGCCCAGAATCTCTGGATAGGCTGATGCATGAAGGGCGTTCCCTGCCGAAACAGTCTGTAAAGACTGGAATATATGCCTATTTCTTCAGATGCACAGACACCAATGCATGACCACAAGGATCATGAGCAATAAAAAAAACCCCTGAAATCTTAGAGATGCCAATCAATTACATATTTCCCTTTCTCTTTACAGCCCATACCTCTAACTCTTCTCTCTCATCCTCTCTCTCGGAGAGTGACATTGTTTCTTTTATTTTGGAAAAGTAAAGGCAGTCAGAAGAGAGTATCTCCAAGTTTCATCCTAGTATCTACCCACAGTTTTGTAACTGTGTTCATATACTGTGCATTCACTCTGTTTCTAATGGTTTCATAATTGATACTCCTGATGAAGACCACCTCTTCCACCTGTGTCCAAGAACCCATTCTCTCTCATCTTCTAAGAACACTGCTCCAGTTATTTTCTCATCTCTGTCTTAAATCATGAAAATTTTCCTCTCCTGTACTACCTTTTTACCTCCATTCCATTTCTGTGTTCCCCTTTACAATTAATTTCTGTAAACATTTGCCTATACCAGCTGTTTGCAATCCTCTTTCCATTCCCTCCTACACCTATACCAATTAAAATTTTACCCTCACTCTTCTACCAAAATTTCTTTTATAAACAACACCAATAACAATTACATTAACAAATCAAAAAATGAAGATTCCTCCATTTTTATCAAAGGACATGGCAACACAGAACATAAACATGTATATTTGTAGAAAAAGTAATGGTTTTTAGCCAATAGGTACAGGTTTTTCCACAATTCATTTTTGGCATGACCTGCTCTCAATGGCATTAATAATTCTTATTGATTAATTAGCATCAGTAAGTAGTATTGAATATTTAATTATAAGATTGGTGAATTGACACAAAAACCTAGGAGCTGTATTCCGTGGGTATAGATACAGAATAAATGTTCAAAGTGAAATTATTGATAGTGGAGAGAAGAGAATTAATTTCAGGAATCATAAACATAGCTGAAGGACATTGTAACAGATGCATATAATTAAGGGTTTGGGATGTACGCTTGTGAAACTACATAAGTAAATACTTTATACAACAGTTTCGAAATTATTTTTTCCTAAATAATTAACACCATCCCTCTTCTACTAAAAATAATACTACTGCAAAGTTATATAATTATCTAACATTAAATACAATCTAATATATTATCTAACACGAATTGGAATCTGCTACTTTTATGAAAACTGATTGTGATAGATACTAAAAGGTTACTCACCTATTTTTTTTTACTTCTCCCTCACTTCCTTTTCCCTTTATTTCGTCTCTTTGTAACACAAATATACACACACTACCACTATCTCCATTAAACAGTCGTACACACTCAGACACTTAACTATAACATACATCTATACTTGATCATAGAGTCTGCTGCCCTGAAACCAAAAAAAGTCCAAAAAAAGCATAAGTAAATAGATCAGGAAATTTGAAGCTTCCCTCATAAATGTTTTATGTAATGAGCCCACCTGTTGCATCCTGTAATCTTCATAGCCTATATTCAAAGAGGTTCCTCCGTCACTCTAACCCACTCATTCCAGTGATCTCAACCTCTTTTCATCAACAGTTTTTCTCTACTATCATAATATCATTTTTCTATTTAGTCTAAGCCAATTTGCTCTGCACATTCCTTTGCACGTATCTTAGTATAAATATAATTTTTGGGTCAAAAGAGTTATCCAAATATCATAGATCAGATGTATTTATTGTGTCCTTGAATAAAGTTATCAGAGAAAGTTCTGACTGCTCAAAACCTATTATAAACACCCTTATTGAAAACAACTTACATGGAATCTAAGCAAATCTCATGTCTTATTATGGACAGAAAATGAACAGGCTAAATCTTCTCAGTAAACCTTCCCAGTAGCATCTTGAGCATTAACACTTTGGGATTTTCTCTCCAAGGACTTATTCTCTTTATATTTCTCTTCCCCTGTGTATCAGTTTATTCTTTCTTTGATGTGCTTATGAGATCACTACATTGATTTAAGTAATAATAATAAATTTTTGGCAGAGCCCTTCATTAGTCATAAGAAAAAAAGAGTGATGATAATATAAAAGAAAGAGAAGACACAGCTCCTATCCTTGAGAAATCTAACATCTAATGAATCTGAAAAGTAATATCACTTAGAACAATATAATGAAAACTAAAAATGATTAATTATAAACTGAGGTCTACAGATATTGAAATGGAAAGATTTAAGCAAATTATGATCAAACAGGGAAGACTAAACAGTGGAGATAAATTTGGTTAACATACTTTTAGGGATTAGTGTTTATATAGATTCTTGGCAGAGACAACTTTATGTATGGAGCCCACTGAAATAATTAAAAACATCTAACTAAAGTCATTATTTGTACTATTATGATCAATGTTCTTTCTTACTGTGAATAAAGAAATGGTAAATTTCCTGAGCCCTATGTTAATTCATGAACAACCAATAAAATCAATTTTATGATTTACTAGAAATATCTCCAAAGTTTTAATTTCAACTATCGCTGTTACTTTAGGGTAAGTGTCAAAGACAAGTCATGTTAACACACAGATTAGTTGTAGGATGAGACTCACTGAAATAGCTCTTAGGAAACTGGGTCTTAGACAATTTAGTTTTCAACAAATTGGCCTATTCCCCTTCAAAGTCCCATACAATGGAGAGTTATGCTGCCAATATGGCCATGAAAGCTCCTTAGAGGAATAAAATGCAAAATAAATAAAACAAAAACTAAACATCCTAGAGAATGATTAAAAGCAAGCATATTTGTGAGTGGAATCAAAGATAGAAAAAAGGGATAGAGAACTAGGTGGGGTTTTTTTTCCTGATATCTGTATCTTTGGTACAGTTCTTATTCATAACCTAAATTGTTTTCCTGATTTCTTTGTATAATTTTTAAATACTGTCTGGTATCTCACTGAGCTGTTTTAGTAACAAAATTTTGAATACTCTGCCTGGGATTGTTGACATTTCTTTTTTATTGGGATCTGTTGCTGGAGAATTATTGTGTCCTTATGTTGATATCTGCATATCTAGTATAACAGTTACTTTTTTAAATTTTTTGAATTTGCTCTCATGGGGAGGACTTTTTCCAGAAGATGTATCTAAGGTGTAGTTTGGGTAGGGTTCTCTGGTTTTGATTCTGGGTGTGTACAATAGTGCAGTCTCTGTATGATTTCTTCATCTGTAAACAGTGTCAGTGGTGTCTGTGATTTCTTTGGTGGCTTAGGATATGGTTGTTAGTGGAGGCTGTGCTGAAGTCTTGCTAAGAACTGAGATGCCAGTTGGGCCAGTCTTCGGCTTCCATTGGTAGAATCAGTGGGATGAGCATGTGTGTCCTTGGGCCCCAGGGCAGCATACACTGGCACCAATGTTAGCGGGTTTAGGCAAGACAGTTCTTGTGCTTCCAAGTGGCTTGCTTGGCTTCTGGGAATGGCATCAGTAGTTCAGGTATGAAGTTGAATTCTTGAGCCCTTTGGCAGTGGATGTGGTGTGGGTGATGGCAGTAGCAGTGGTGGGACAGCCCTCTGGGACCCGTGTAGTCCATGCTGATATTGGCAATGGCTGTGACAGGTTGGGCAGGTCAGTTCCCAGATCCACAGGAGGCACATGAGTGTGGATGTCAGCTGTGGTGCCAGGGGAAGGTTGAGTGGGGCTGACCTCAGATCCCAGGAGGGGTGCTGAGGAGCTACCAGTGATGGACTGGGCTAAGTGACCCTCGGGCCCCTGTACGGTGTGCTCAGATTCTGTGGGTGGGTGAAGCCAGGCTGAGTAGACCTTCCCATGGGCTCCTTGGTGGTGTATGAGGCACTGGCTATGGTAGGCAGGGGCAGGGGGATCCCCAGGCCACAGATGGAATGCTCAGATAGGGGTGGTAGTGGCTGTTTTGTGGTCATGGACTGGGGAGGACTGGGTTGCTTTTCCTGGGAACAACCATAGGCAAGAAACTGGGGAGGCATGGGCTTTGCTCATGCCTCTGCCCCACAGTAGTTCATCATGGCAGCAGTTGCAGGCAGTGAAATTTGTCCTCAGGGCAAGTAAAAATGTGTAGTTGTCCCTCTGGTCGGGGTAACGGGAGGTGGGATTACTCCCTAGGGCTCTTGCCTCGGTCTCAGAAGCAGAGTAAGATGCAGTGCGTTGGGATCTGTGCTGTCAAAATGGTGCCGTGCTGCAGTTAGTTAGGACTTAGGGTTCGTGGGACCCAGTGTGAGGTTCTTTCTTGGGTAGCGCCTTCACGTGGTCTCCAGGCAGCTCCCTATGTTAGTCTCAGGGGCTACGATGGTTGAGGGGATCTCCTGTGGCTAGAATTGTAGGTATCTGTGGTGAAATGTGGGCTGCTGGGAGTCTGCCCCTTTCCCTTTTCCCACATTGGAGAGCCGCTCGAGACTCATATCCGATCTTGGTTGAACAGGCGGTCTCATTTCCTTCTCCTTTGCTTTTGGTGCTTCCTGGTCACTTCTCTGCTGACTTTCGGTGTTCTCTCTTAGATGATCTATTCAACGTGTGATTATTGACTGGTTATTTTGGTTACTTTACATGGAAGGGCCAAGTACCAGATGTATCAAGTCAGCCATGTTGGAGCCTCTCCAGCTCCATTCAAGGGGCCTGTTTTGAGTTGGCCCTAGGCCTTTCCCCGTAAGCAAACTTTCTATAACATTGAAATTACTTGGGAAAAAAAGCTGTCAAAAGACTTTGAGGGTGTTTTGTTTTGTTTTGTTTTGTTTTGTTTTGTTTTGTTTTGTTTTATGGCGTCTCACGCTGTCACCCAGGCTGGAATACAGTGGTAATCTCTGCCTCCCAGGTTCAAGCAATTCTCCTGCCTCAGCCTCCTGAGTAGCTGGGATTACAGGCGTACACCCCCATGCCCAGCTAATTTATGTATTTTTAGTAGAGATGGAGTTTCACCATGCTGGCCAGGCTGGTCTGGAACTCCTGACCTCAAGTGATCCACCTGCCTCGGCCTCCCAAAGTGCCGGGATTACAGGCGTGAGCCACTGCACTCAGCCAACTTGGAGGTATTTTGGGGAAAAAAAAAGAAGTAATGATTTTTCCTAACTTATGAGATATTAAGACCTACAATAACATCATATTACTTAAATTACAGCTTATTCAATGGAAAAAATAGTCAGTGGAGAAACAAACCATGTATTGAGGGGAACTTGGAATAGTATAAAGATGGCCTCACAAATCGATGAAGAAGGAATGGTTAGTCTGTCTACATAGAGACAACCAGAACCAAGACTAGCTGATTATCTCACAGGATATGTAAATATAACCTCTAGAAGACTAGAGTCCTAAATGACAAATATAAAACTCTAAATCTAATTAACAGAACCAGTTACATAATCTTTAAGTTTCAATGCAAGATAAAAAATGATAAAATTGAAGTGGGGGACATTTTGAAAAAATGGAAATTACATTGCAGTGATCCCTAAAACTAAAGAGCCTTATTTTGAATCCTAGTTTCACAATCCATTGCAAGGAAAAGGAAACTTTACTTAAATCCTTTGAGCCTTGGTTTTCTTGTAGTAAAGGAATAATTTTAATACTTTTACATTGGGTTTTTGTGAGAATTAAATGAGCTAATATATGTGAAGAACTCAGAACAATAACTTATACACAATGAGCATGCAATAAATGTTATTTATTTATAATATATTAGCAGTATATAAAATAAGGAATTATTTGTATGTGGAATGGCTCATACCTATAATCCCAACATTTTGGGGGGATGATATTGGTGGATTGCTTGAGACCAGGAATTAGAGGCTGCAGTGAGTTATGATTGCATCACTGCACTCCAGCCTGGATGACAGAGCAAGACTCTGACTCAAAACAAGAAAAAAAATTAAAGATTTAAAAAAAAAAACAAAATTAAAAAATTAAAATAAGATATTATTGTGATAAATATATATAATAAACTTTTGCCAAGCAACAAAAATGGAAACTCAATAGAAAGATGGAAAAAATACATCATAGTTACAACTGTTAGTAGAATCCTTGGATTGATGGAAGGTCACGCATAGATACCCTGGTGTAATTCAGACAGAATTTTCTTATCTAAAAATTAGCAAAAAGTAATGCTACACATTGGTAAGACCAAAATCCTTATCCCAAACAGAGAAAAATGTGAGCTTTTGGACCCCAAAATTAATTATTTAAAATAATTTAGTATTATTAGCAACAGTGAAGAGTAAGATGTAGAAGGTACAAAAGCAATACTATTTCTCTTTATGTCTCTTTCTTTGGTTTTCATAGAACCACAGTAGAATATTAAAGATAATCATCTTTCTGTACTGATCAATGGAATGTGAGTGACCATATTTATTAATTTTTATTGCCAATTTTCTTTCACTTTATATACCAAAATATTTTCCAAGGGAGCCCTCAAGAAGAGAAAGTGAATCTGAACCTCTACCATAGGAAATGAAAGGAAATTTGACTAGGAAAAAGTATTTTAAATAAACAAATAAATATTTTAAAAAACAGTATTGTGAAAGGTCAAATAAAATATTGGGTTACTATTTTAAAGAAAAAATCCAGCAAATATATTAAGCTATTGAAAACTGTCTTGTCCATGGTTATGAAACCAAGGAACAAACATATTAAGAAAAAAAGATAAGAAGAACGACAACAACAGAAAAGTGGAATTCTACAGAGAAATTCCATATGGCTATCTCCTTATGCTGCAGGTGCAGAGAGACCTCCTGTTTATTCTCACGACAATCCTTCTCAGCACCCAGGGGACAGTTTCTCTCAGGTTTTTATGTCTAGAGATCTGCAGCTCATTGGAAGGCAGGCAGATTTTCAGAGAGGAAAAGATTTTTGAAGATAATTTATGCTGCAATCCCAACATCAACCATCACTTCAAATATTTTTCTATTTATAATCACTGGGAGTATAAATCTGAAAAGCTCTTTTACCTGTGATTCTGAACTCTCAATCCGGGTGAGAGAATAGAATAGGAGACAGGTTGGGAAGCTGCTCGTATTTTTTATCTGTTAATGAGTGACCTGACTGCTTGCGAGTATTAAAGTTAGATGCCCAGGATTTAGAGCTGGTTTCCTATTTTTATGATGGAGTCTTCATTGTAGTTGTAGATTATGAAAGCATTTTGTTTTCCGCACTTTTATTGCCATATCTCCTTCTCTATTCAACATGCCTGGCTCTCTAGATATTCGCTAAAGCAAATCTGAAATCCCTAAATATTGAAATTGCAGTGAAAGAAATATTTTCATACAGAGAAGTTGGCTAAACAACATTCTTTAAACGTTAGGAAAATGTTGTTTTATTATTTATTATTTTTTAAATTTTCTTTTTACCAAATAGATTTTTGATACAATTTTATTTTATGGGTCAGAGAACCAAAAATAATATTTTATCTATCATTTGTACTTTTAAAAGACATGGTAAAAGTTTTGAAAAATATGCAACATACATGGCTATCAAAGAAAGCTACTTTAAATTGTTTGGAGGCAGTCCTTCATGGAGGTGTGGTAAAGGTTAGATAATCTCTCAAAATTTCCTCTAGCTGTAAAGCCAAATATCCTATGGGCTCCCTAGAGATGTTTCCTAGTTCATTATTTTTTTTAACTTTAGTCACACCAAATCCTTTTCTTCTCTCATCAGCAATTTTTCAGCCTCGAATTATTCCCCATTTATAGGAAACACTCTAATGTCTGCATCTTTCTTCTGATTTTCTATTGGTTCTTATTCTTTTCTAAGTGCCTGCCATTTCTATGGATTTCCCACACATTCTTGCTTCTTTTCTCCTAATATGCAAAAGTTAATCCACTACATTTGTACAAGAAAGGAACAAACAGGAAGCTATTTCACAAAATTATGTTTGCTTTTGTCAGTGCACCTATAGAAGATAATCCCAAGTACTTTGCAAATAATGTTAGAAAAAACCTTCAAAATATATTTCTGCCTTTCAGTAAACAGTATAAATTTAGTCAAATATTAAACCTCATTATAATTATCTTACTTATAATCCCTCATGTGTTTTAACAGTTACTGAAAAAATTCTATTATTTCAATTCTGCAAAAGAAAGAAAAATGAATACATTTCTTTCATAGAAAATGGAAATTTTATCTGATGGAAAGAAGGGGCAAATAGAGAAAACACATTTTACAAATGAAAAAGGCTAGAAATGTGTGGCAACTTTGGAGAGAACTGGTATGAAGCCAACAGACCTCTGGGTTGATGGAGGAGAACCTGACTGTCAGTGTCACATTGATGAAACTAGAAGAAAAGAGAAAATTCACTTGGATACAATGTTTCTTCACATCTAAAAAGTGAGCTTATTTCAGGCAAAATAAAAATAAGACTTAAGAAAATGCATCACAAGAGAAGACAGAACTTTCAGTGGTCTAAATTCTTAGATACTTTAGAAGAAGACACTATTGGGTAAAATGAAGGAAGAATTGTTGAGTCTATTGGAAGAGTTTTTCTTATTCAGAGATTCAGGGGTGTGAAAAAGGAAAAAGTCTCAGTGCAACTGGAAACTAAAGGAACAATAACATTTGTCATCAAGTAAGTAATTTGGGATTTACTTTGAAAAAATTTAAAGGCTTAGGTAGAAGAAACTAAGCACATTATCTGATATAGCAGTGATAAAACTTCAAATATACCTCAGGTTAATATTTGATTGATGTATTATTTTTTCCTTTCCCAGTAGAGCTCCATGACATTGCCAGAGATGTGGGTTAGAAAGAGATCAGTAAGAGAACATCTCCAGCCTCATCTACATTCTAAGATGAGAACAAAATAATTACTACTATTTTAAAGAGGTTTTTATATCTCTTTAAAGACTTTGTGATTATAATGAGTTCATTTTTATCTTCCTCTCTTAAGTCAAAAAATTTCAGGAGCCATTTTCCTGGGTCAAGAGATATCCAAGTGGTGGTGCACTTAAAAATTGCCCCCTATTAACGCTGACTTGGGGTAGGAAAGGAAAGTTGTAACAGAATACGGATGTATTCTTCTCAACCAGAGAAGATGTAAGTTAGCAACATGTTCTAAATCCCCAGAAGAAAGAAATACGTTAATGATAAACTTAATTTTAAAAAGTGGTTAAGTCATAGTCCATAATATGCATGAATCCTTAATATTGAAGAGACCAGCAGCTAAGCTTCTATACAACTTCTGAGGTTTGGAAGAAGTACAACAGTACTCTCCTTCCAAGTATCTTTGGCTTGGTGAGAAAATTCTGAGCCGGAAGGATTCTGATTGCGATTAGTGTTCCATAGATTATTTTGTCTTTTGTCTGAAGTGATGCTGAATACAACCTCAGTCACCGAATTTCTCCTCTTGGGAGTGACAGACATTCAAGAACTGCAGCCTTTTCTCTTCGTGGTTTTCCTCACCATCTACTTCATCAGTGTGACTGGGAATGGAGCCGTTCTGATGATTTTCATCTCCGATCCTAGACTCCATTCCCCTATGTATTTCTTCCTGGGAAACCTGTCCTACCTGGATATCTGTTACTCTACGGTGACACTGCCAAAAATGCTGCAGAACTTTCTCTCTACACACAAAGCAATTTCTTTCTTGGGATGCATAAGCCAGCTTCATTTCTTCCACTTCCTGGGCAGCACGGAGTCCATGTTGTTGGCCGTGATGGCATTTGACCGCTCTGTGGCTATCTGCAAGCCACTTCGCTACACTGTCATCATGAACCCTCAGCTCTGTACCCAGATGGCCATCACAATCTGGGTCATTGGTTTTTTCCATGCCCTGCTGCACTCCATAATGACTTCTCGCTTGAACTTCTGTGGTTCCAACCGTATCCATCATTTTCTCTGTGATATTAAGCCATTGCTAAAGCTGGCCTGTGGGAACACTGAGCTTAATCAGTGGCTACTCAGTACTGTCACGGGGACAATTGCCATGGGCCCCTTCTTTCTGACACTTCTCTCCTATTTCTACATTATCACTTATCTCTTCTTCAAGACCCGTTCTTGTAGCATGCTCTGTAAAGCACTGTCCACTTGTGCCTCCCACTTCATGGTAGTTATTCTTTTCTATGCACCTGTTCTCTTCACCTATATCCATCCTGCGTTAGAGAGCTTCATGGACCAGGACCGGATTGTTGCCATCATGTACACTGTGGTCACTCCTGTACTAAACCCACTGATCTATACTTTGAGGAACAAGGAAGTGAAGGGGGCCTTGGGTAGAGTGATCAGAAGGCTTTGATTTGAATAAACCAGAGAACTCTTCTGAGGCATAAATAACCAGCAATGAAAAAGTAGAGATGTGTAATTTTACTGCTTCTCAGATGGTTTATAAGTGTAAAATAGAGGCAACTGGATAAAAGAAAAAAAAGTCCAATCTAGTTGTAGTAAACAATACATTTCTAAGTAATATGAGGAATACTTGAAAATGCAAGACACTAGCCATGGAACCCTAATGCTGAAAATTTTTTGGAATATCAGTTGATATAATTGACTTATTATGTATTCTAACATGTACTTGTATGCAATTGCATGTAGAATTTTGCCTATATTGCCCATGTATTGTATAGATAGATGATATTTAGGACTGTTTGTCTGTGAGATCCTTTTAGTTTAACACATTTTAGTCTGATCAATAAAATTATTATGCTTTTTTATTTTAAGGATTGTCATGTAGGGCTATGTTTATTCAATTGGAAAAGTAAATGCTAACTTGCATATTATTTAAATAAATTTTAAAGAGGTATGTCATGATTTCTTTTCAGTTCGGTTGGTTTTTGTTCTTTTAATGGTGATTCAAAATGCAAAAGACATAAAAAGATGTCAAATGTTTCTCCCCATCTCTGCCCTCCGTCACTGACTTACTCTTCATATACAATCAATGTAATCAGTTGTTATCTGTCCTCACAGAGATCCTTTATGCTACACAGTCAAATACAAATATTTTCTTTAAAAAAGAATGGCAATGAACAATACATGTTATATGAGCAAACCAATGTTGAGGGCAATGTGTATCTTGGAGATCTTTCCCTATTAGAACATAGAGCTTCTTTATTTTTTTAACATGCATGGTATATGCCACTTTGTTCATGTATTATATTTGATATATCAGTCTCCTATCATTGGACATCTATGTTATTTCCAATCATATGTTGCAGTGTATAATCTTGTGTACACGTCATTCTATATATGTGCAAGTCTATTTGTAGGACAAACTTTCAGACATGGAAATGTTAGGTCAAGAGATATCGTTATTGTAATTCAGATAGATACTGCCAAATTGCCCTCCCCAGAGGTTATAAAAAATTTCATCACCACTTGCAATGTAAAAGTGTTTAGATTTTACACTACATTGAATATGAATAATGCCAATGACTTATTTTGTAGATGCTTCCCTGAAAATATTCTACTTTTACAGCCTGGTTATGTAAAAAATGACATCCTAAAGACACTTTCCATAACATGGAAGTCTGCATAATTCTGCCATTGTTATAGAAAGTTTTCAGACTATTTGAAGCCCAAGCAAGATGGCAACTGGGAGAAAGGAAAAGCTAAGATTACAGCAATTCTTGTCATTGTTAGCTGGCACACAGGCAACATGAAGTGTTTTCCCCTACTTCAGCATAAAATACTTAAAACTTTCCTCTTACTACACCAACAGTTATTCATGTGAAAAATTAATCAATTGTGTTGTTTATTATTTTAATCAAAAAAAGCTCTACAGGTGTTAGATTTATGAAAGTCCTGCACAAAATAAAGGAAAGGTGCCCTAAAAGACCCACCGTTTAACTAAAGAAAATGAATCTCACACAGAGGACATGCTGCAGAGAGAATGAGCTACTGAAACACACTAGAATGTTTCATTTCTTTTATGACACAAAAAGAATAGGAAAGAGTGGAAAAAGGGAACAAACTTTTACTAAAAGTTGACAATTTTATTTTTACATTTTATAATACAAATGAAAAATGCTTTTTACTTGGTCCAGAGAGGCTAATAAGTAATTAAATTGAATGACATTGCAACCACTAATTAAGAGAGAAAACAACCAATTGTTCAGCTAAGAGTTCTGGTACCTATATCTTCAGAGATGTTTTAGAAGTCAACTGGCCAGACTTCAAGGATTACTATGAAATACCATTAAAAGTGGAGCTAGGTAAAACAAACAAACAAACAAAAAACACCTCAAGAATCACTTTGTATCTCATTAGAGTGTTATAACCACTCGTATCTCTCCACCCTGGGTCATGAAAGATGATGACTTTAAACACTCTATTATTTTGGTTTCGTTTTCCTTTATCTGTCCTTATTTTGACAGACTGTAATGCATGTAATATGATGTAATACAGGTGAAATACAAAAAATTCATGAAAATGTATTTTTCTTTTCCTTTGGTACCAAACTCATACTAAGTGAAAACAATGAAATCATAATTGTGGAAGTATTTCTGGAGCTAATAGACAAGAATAGGTATGATGTTTCTTAGTTTCTAAGTACTTAGAAATGGATTCTGGCTCTGAAAAGATGTGGTATGCCAACATTTGTAACTATTTAGAGATACAAATAGACAAGACTATGGAAGCTATGTTGAGCGGGTGGGCTGACTATTCAAAACCTCTGCCTTCACTTTTGCAAACCCAAACGATCTGACCTCTCTCTGGTACTTCTTCTATCTTCCAAGTCAACCTTCTTTGGTCCTTCAGTTCCAGTTTTGTTGATGAGACAATGCCTGTGTGGAGAAGACACTATCCACCTGAACTATCTCAGACTATCACTTCTGTTGCTCAGAGTTTATTGCATAATCCCATCTACATGGAAGCTGTGAACTGTAGGAAAACACATGGGTTCTAGTTATCTACTGCTGTATAACAAATAGTAGCCTAAATCTAAATGGCTTAATTTATTTAATCAAATCCCAGGATTCTGTGGGTCAGAAATTGGGGAGGGCACAGCAGGAAAGGGTTGACTATGCTCAGTAATATCTGGATCTGCTCGCTCTCTCTCTCTCTCTCTCTCTCTCTCTTTCTCTCTCTCTCCAGTTTCTCAGTTGACTGTCATGTGCTTCTTTAACAGGGAAGCCTCGGGACAGACTTTTTCATGGGGGACAGCAAACCAAGACAAAAACTGTTAGTTGTCTCAAAGACAAAAACCAAGAACCAGCATTAACATAACTTCTATCATACTCTATTGGCCAAAGAAATCGCAGGCCAACTGAGCTTCTGTAACCTTCAATGGAAAGAGTGTCAAAAATTGTGTGGACATCCTTAATCTACCACAGTCCCATATCTAACCACTAATAATTCATGTTGTTCCCATATGCAAGGTACACTTACTCCTCTTCCTAATAATCTTAAAATCTCATCCCTTTATAGCATCAGCTCAAAGTCTAGGTTTTTAAAATCCAAATCATGGCAAAGTGCAAATGGGGCATATTTAGTATGATTCCTCAAGAATGGTTCCTTTTGACCTGAAGACCTTTGAACTTGAAGAAGTCAGGTTATCTTCCCGTCACACACTCAGCACATAATGATAAAGTAGATATAAGATGACAGTAATAGAAAATGTTACTCCAAAAGAGAAAAAATGGGAGGCACATAACAGTTACATAGCAATTGTGAAACCCATTTGGGGACATTTTTCTCACTCCGTCCTCTAGAGTCTAAGATGATGCAATTGAAACTGATGATACCAATAAAATTCTCTCTCTTCTTCTTCTTCTTCTTTTTTTTTTTTTTTTTTTTTTAACACGGATCTCACTCTGTCACCCAGACTGGAGTACAGTGGGACGGTGCAATCTCGGCTCACTGCAACCTCCACCTCCCAGGTTCAAGTGATTCTCTCAACTGAGCCTCCCAAGTAGTTGGGATTACAAGCATGTGCCACCATGCCCGGCTAAATTTTGTACTTTTAATAGAGACAGGGTTTCCACCGTGTTGCGCAGGCTGGTCTCAAACCCCTGATTTCATGTGATCCACCCACATGAGCCTCCCAAAGTGCTGGGATTACAGATCTGAGTCACTGTGCCTGGCCCACCAATAAAATTCTTTTTAAAATATTTTAGGTTCTTAGGATTCTTATTTGGGTTTAGTCAATTAGATAAGTACCAAACTCATACATCTCCTTAGGACAGGCCTTTCTCTGACTTGGGCTGACAATTACTGTACTGTGAGACAACACCCTTGAGATTTCTGTCTGTCTGTCTTCATGCCAGTAGAATACTGTTTTATTTACTGTACCTTTGCAACATCTTGGGAAGTCAAGAAGAGTGATACCATCTGCTTTGCTATTCTTTCTGAAGATCACTTGGGCTATTTGAGGTCTTTCTTGAATAGTTTTTTCCATTTCTGTAAAAAATGCCTTTGGGATTTTGATAGTGATTGCATTGAATTCATAGACAAGTTATGGTAGTGTGGACATTTTACAATTTTAATTCTTCTAAGCCCTGAACATAGGTTATGTTTCTATTTATTTGAGTCTTCTTCAATTCCTTTCATCAATGTTTTTACAGTTTCCAGTGTACAAGTCATTCACTTCCTTGGTTAAGTTTATTGCTAAGCATTTTATTCTTTTTTATGCTATTTTAAATGAAATTGTTTTGGTTCTTCCTTTTCTGATAGCTCAGAAAAGCTAGATTGTTAATGTATAGGAATGCAATTGATTTTGTATGTTAATTTTATATTCAATTTGAATGCCTTCCATTTAATTAAAATAGTATAGTACTGAGATAAAGACAGACATACAAGCCAATAGAACAGAATGGAGAGTCCAGAAATAAATGCACATATAGATAGTAAACTGATCTTGGACAAGATTGCTGAGAACACACAATGGAGAAAGAATAGTCCCTTCAATAGATGGTGTAGAATAAACTACATAGAGAAGAATGAAATTGGACCCTATCTCATACTATATACAAAATCAACTCAAAATGGATTAAAGATTTAAATGTAAAACTCCTAGAAGAAAAAAAATAAGGAGATAACTTCTTGATGTTGGTCTTGACAATGATTTTCTAGATTTGAAACAACAAAATAAAAAATAGACAAGCAGGACTATGTAAAGCTAAAAAGCTTCTTCACAACAAAGGAAATGATCAACAGAGTGAAAAGTCATCCTATGAAGCGGGAGAAAATATTTCAAACCATCTATCTGATAGGGGTTAATATCTAAAATACATAATAATCTTCTCAACTCAATAATATATACACACACACACACAACTTAAAATTGACAAAATAATTGAATAGGTATTTCTTTAAAGAAGACATATAAATGGCCAACAAGTATATAAAAACGTACTCAATACCACTAACCATCAGAAAAAGGCAACCATAGTCAGATATCACTTAACATATTTTAGGATGGTTATTATAAAAAAAAAAGTGTTGGTGTGAATGTGGAGAAACTGGATCCCTTATACACTGAATATAGAAATTGCAGCCACTATGCAAAATGGTATGAAAATTCCTTTAAAAATTAAAAATAAATCTACAATCTGATCCAGCAATTTCTCTTCTGGGTGTATAGCCAAGAGAATTGAAATCAGGGCCTTGAAGAAATATGTGCAACACTCTGTTTATTTTGAAATTTTTTACAGTAGACAAAATACAAAAACAACCCAAGTATTCATTGGCAGATGAATGGATAAAGAAAATGAATATATACATGAATATTATTTAACCTTTAAAAGAAGGTGATCCTGCCAATTATTACAATATGGACAAACCTAGAGGATATCATGATAAGTAAAATAAGACAGTCTCAAAAGGACAAATGTTGCATGGCCATGCTTAAACGGTATCTAAAATGGTCAACCTCATAGAAATACAAAATAGAATGGTGATTATAAAGGAATGTGTAGAGGGGGAGATGGGGAATTGTTTATCAGTGGGTATGGTATAAAGTTCCTGTTATGCAAGATAAATAAGATCTAGAGATCTGCAGTACAACATATTACCTATAACTAGAAAATGGTATTTTGC
Organism: Homo sapiens; assembly: GCF_000001405.40. NCBI lineage: Eukaryota > Metazoa > Chordata > Mammalia > Primates > Hominidae > Homo > Homo sapiens. Next base: position 712,367 of record NT_167249.2, read on the forward strand.
ACTTTAAAATATGTTAACAAGACTATAGATCTCATGATAAGTGCTTTTACAGAAACAAAAACAACACAAAAGAGCATGAGGACATTTTTGGAGGTGGTGGATATGCTTACTACCCTGGTTGTGGTGATGATAGTATGTGTACATATGCCCAAACTCATCACGATGTATACATTAAAGACATATAATTTTTTTATGTCAATTGTACCTCAATAAAGCTAAAATAAGATTTCTGGAAACATTTTTGCCTCTAGCTGGAAATGTTGACAAGGCATGTCCATAAGACTCATAGTGACCTCTGTGTCTAACATAGAGGGCTTAAGAGGCCTGTCTTAAGATTTTTAGAAACTATTCTAGGCTTCCCCATTATCTTTCTGAGCTTTCAACAATGGGTATTATAGTCACATCCTTGGGATCTTTACCTAAAAACCATACTTCACTAACAGCACCTTGGAATATGATCTTTGCCCTGAAGCCATTTCTTACTTTGAGAAACTTCTACCATCTAGACTATTTAGCACTAATATACAGTTTAATTTTTTGATCCTAGGAAGTCCTGGAATCTAGTTTTCCTCTAAATACTGATTGAAAATTGAATGCCTTGTTTTTTAGTTCATCTTACATCTGCCCTATTTTGTAATAGTCAGCTAAAAGAATCTGTTGGAACTTTCACTATTTTGATGGTTTTTATGTCAGCTTGACTGAGGATGTCCACACTTTATTTAATTGAGCAGTTTTCTGGATGTGTCAGTGAGGATGTTTTTAGATGAGACTAACATTTGAATTGATAGATTGAGTAAAGCAGATTATCCTCCCTAATGTAGGTGGCCATCATCCAATCAATATTCTGTTGACTCTGTTTCTCAGAAGAACCCTGACTACTACAATCATTCTTCCTAGTAAGCACCTTAGCAACATCTGGGTTCAATAGATATCCTTTCTATCTTCTTTGTTACTGTGGATAGTACATGTCTACTGTACTACATATTACTATAGATAGTGGATGTCTCTCTTGACCGCCAGGCCAACAATTAGAGTTAAATCCCCATAAATTAATTAGGGTTGTGCTAGAGATGTTAAAATAGAAAAGAGATTAAACTGACAGGAGTGCAAATAGTAGTTACAATGTGCCAGCAGGAGTACCATGGGATTGAATTTTGAGTGTGCATGATCAAGGGACTAGAACACTAAACTGGATAAATGAGAATATATTAACTAGGGGACATTGAGTTCTTAGACACGGAATCTGGGGCTTAAGTAAATGTGCTGCTAGTGTGGCTCTTACAAGCACAGGGAAGGCATTGGCCCATGATGATCAAAGTTAAAATTACTGAGTTGCCCTGACAGATGGTATGGAAAGGAATAAAGAGACTCAGGAAAGTGGGGGTATTGGAAGAATATACTATATGTAGGTCAGAAAAGCCACCAGAATATTATGTTCCACAAGAGTACTCAGAGGAGACACACCATTCACAATTCAGAATGCTCTGGCAGAGGCGTTCTGGAATTACTAAGAAATTCAGTGGTGACTCTTTGTAGACCAGGGATAATGGTTACAGAAGTAATCACAGAGTTTGAATTGCTGGAGAAAAGGGGCCTACAGCAATAAAAATATATGGTAGCATTGAACCACTGGAAGCTAGTAGTTGGCAATTGCTGTAATCATCAGTGAGTCAAAAAGGTAGCCAAGTAGTCTTGACCTACAGGAAGCTGTGGTGATGGTTAATATAACATGTGTCCCTAAAGACGAAATTACAGGACAGCTGATGAGGTTGCTGCTTAAAAACTACAATCAAAAGAAGGCAAGAGTAGAGGAACAGGACACTGAGGGTGGTCTCTCTAATAAAATGGCCTAATTTCCTGCTCAGTTCACAGACGCAAGCTAATATTTAGGTGCATAACTTATTACCTGAACATTTAGTCATGTCCTCCAGAAAGAAGTGAACTTCAACATTGTGGTAAGCATTTACTGGAAAGACACCTATAGTTTTTCCCGAGAGGGAGCTAACATTATTTATGCAAATTACTGCACACTGGGAAAGGGGGAATACCCAAATATTTCAAGTACAGTTGTCTGAGTTGACACTGATACTCCAAGAGCCAAAGCATCACCATGGCCCAACTGTTACAATGAGCATACAGAAGCCAGATTACGAATGGAGTCATGTTAAAGTTTAGCTTACAGTACGTCACCCAGTACTGTAGGCACATCCAATAGTCGTTCCCACAGTCACTGGCTATACGATTAGGACTGATATACTTGGCAGTAAGAGAAGCCTCTACATCAGTCCTTGGCCAGTGGGAAATGCGCTATCGTACTGGATAATGCCAACTGGAAGCTTTGAAACTGCCCCATCTGGCAAGGATATTAAACTAACAACAATATCACATCCTGGGAAGGATAGCCAAGATTAGTGCCCCCTTAAATATCTAAAGACTGAAAGATCACTTGCAAAAAACAGATAAATCCTGAATAGCTGCAGACTAGTAGTCTTGATCACAGCTGTCATGTCAGACATGGTATCATTGCTAGAACAAGTTAACAGGGCTTCAGGTAAATGGTTTTTGTCCATTGATATGGCAAATGCATTCTTGTTTCTTGGGAGCATCCCAAGAGTGACTGTTTCAGGAGATCTATTAAGAAGTTGTAAGGTTTCTTTTAACGTACCTTCGAAGTTCCAGAACATCATTTTTGTTGCATTCTATTGGTGAAGTCACTGTGCCAGCCCAGGTTCAAGAAAAATGAACCACACAGGGCATCAATGCTGAGAGGCATGGTTCACTTGGCATCCATGTGTCTAGACTAGCTACCACATTGACTTGAGACTCATTTTGATAGTCCCGTCTGAAGATTAATGTATTTGTTTTTACCTAGCAAAAACATACATGGTGCATTGTATGTGTCAGACCCTATTCTAAGTACTTTATACATATTAGCTCATTTAATCATCGTAACAACCTTTATTCTTATTTTACAGATGAAGAAATACAGGAACAGAAATGTTAAGTCATTTGCCCAAAGTTTTTCCGACAGTGATTAGCAATGATAGATGTAAGCCCAAGCAGAATGGCTACAGTCATTTTCTTGAAAATTACACTGTGCTTTCTCAGCTGTTACATCTTTAAATACAGACCATTCTCTTTGTGCTCTTTTTCTGGACCTCCTTTCTAACAGATGTGCTGGGAAGTTCACAACGTATTTCCTGCAATCAGGCAAGAGAAAGAAATAAAGAGTATTCAATTAGGAAAAGAGGAAGTCAAATTGTCTCTGTTTGCAGATGACATGATCGTATATTTAGAAAATCCCATCATCTCAGCCCAAAATCTCCTTAAGCTGATAAGCAACTTCAGCAAAGTCTCAGGATACAAAATCAATTTGCAAAAATCGCAAGCATTCCTATACACCAACAACAGACAAACAGAGAGCCACATCATGAGTGAACGCTCATTCACAATTGCTACAAAGAGAATAAAATACCTAGGAATACAACTTACAAGTGATATGAAGGACTTCTTCAAGGAGAACTGCAAACCAATGCTCAAGGAAATAAGAGAGGACACAAACAAACAGAAAAACATTCCATGCTCATGCATAGGAATAATCAATATCGTGAAAATGGCCACACTGCCCAAAGTAATTTATAGATTCAATGCTATCCCCATCAAGCTACCATTGACTTTCTTCACAGAATCAGAAAAAACAACTTTAAATTTCAAATGGAACCAAAAAAGAGCCTGCATAGCCAAGACAATCCTAAGCAGAAAGAACAAAGCTGGAAGCATCACACTACCTGACTTCAAACTATACTACAAGGCTACAGTAACCAAAACAGCATGATACTGGTACCAAAACAGATATATAGACCAACGGAACAGAACAGAGGCCTCAGAAATAACACCACACATCTACAACCAACTGATCTTTGACAAACCTGACAAAAACAGGCAATGGGGAAATGATTCCCTATTTAATAAATGGTGTTGGGAAAACTGGCTAGCCAGATGTAGAAAGCTGAAACACGATCCCTTCCTTACACCTTATACAAAAATTAACTCAAGATGGATTAAAGACTTAAACATAAGACCTAAAACCATAGAAACCCTAGAAGAAAACCTAGGCAATACCATTCAGGTCATAGGCTTGGGCAAAGACTTCATGACTAAAACACCAAAAGCAATGGCAACAAAAGCCAAAATAGACAAATGGGATCTAATTAAACTAAAGAACTTCTGCACAGCAAAAAAAACTATCAGCAGAGTGAACAGGCAACCTACAGAATGAGAGAAAATTTTTGCAATCTATCCATCTGACAAAAGGCTAATATCTAGAATCTACAAAGAACTTAAACAAATTTACAAGAAAAAAGCAACCCCATCAAAAAGTGAGCAAAGGATATGAACAGAAACTTCTCAAAAGAAGACATTTATGCAGCCAACAAACATATGAAAAAAAGCTCATTATCACTGGTCATTAGAGAAATGAAAATCAAAACCAAAATGAGATACCATCTCACGCCAGTTAGAATGGTGATCATTAAAAAGTCAGGAAACAACAGATGCTGGAAAGGACATGGAGAAATAGGAACACTTTTACACTGTTGGTGGGAGCGTAAATTAGTTCAACCATTGTGGAAAACAGTGTGGCGATTCCTCAAGGATCTAGAACTAGAAATATCATTTGACCCAGCAGTCCCATTACTGGGTATATACCCAAAGGATTATGTATCATTCTACTATAAAGACACACACATGTATGTCTATAGCAGCACTGTTCACAATAGCATTGACTTGGAACCTACCCAAATGCCCATCAATGATAAACTGGATAAAGAAAATATGGCACGTATACACCATGGAATACTATGCAGCCATAAAAAGGGATGAGTTCATGTCCTTTGCAGGGACATGGATGACACTGGAAAGCATCATTCTCAGCAAACTATCACAAGAACAGAAAACCAAAACAGAGAACCGCTTGTTCTCACTCATAGGTGGGAGTTGAACAGTGAGAACACATGCACACAGGGAGGGGAACATCACACCCCAGGGCCTGTCAGGGGGTGGGAGGGTAGGGAAGGGGTAGCATTAGGAGAAATACCTAATGTAGATGACGGGTTGATGGGTGCAGCAAACCACCATGGTACATGTATACCTATGTAACAAACCTGCACGTTCTGCACAGGTACCCCAGAACTTAAAGTATAATAATAAAAAAAAGGAAGTTAAAAAAAATTACTAAGAGTTTCAAGACAGTGACCACAAAGCATTAAATCAAACATAGGGCCCTTCTGAGTGCAGGGTCCTTTGTGACTGCATGGGTCGCAGGCCCATGAAGCTTCCTTTGTAATAAAAGAAAATTTAAAACAAATAATATGTACAATCACAAAGAGACAATACATAAAGAAGAAAATTGCTGATCATGACTTCATTAAAATAGCGAATGGCTAGTCAACTAAGAAAATTGTAGATAAAATTAAGATGAATAATATTTGAAAGAGCACAATACAGTGATCACTAGAACTAAGGAGCCTCAGTTTGAGTCCTGGTTTCACAATATATCACAAGAAGAAAAATTTACTTAAATCCTTTGAGCCTCAGTTTTCTTGTGATATAAGATAAATGACTGTATTACTTACTTCATTGGGTTTTTGTGAGAATTAAGAGAGCTAATAGATGTAAAGAACTTAGAACAATACCTTACACATAATAAGCATGCAATAAATAGTATTCATTTGTATTATATTCACAGTGTATAAAATAACAAGAAGTTGAGGGCTGGCCAAGATGGCCAACGAGAAGCACCTATTGTGCACCGCTGTCACAGAGCAAAATAGAAGAGGCAAGTAAATACAGTATCTTCAACTGAACTGGGTACGTGCATTGGGATTCATCAAGAAAACAACCCAACCCACAGAGAACAGAGAAAAGCAAGGCAGGACAACCACCCACTTGGGAATGACATGTAGCCAGGGTAGCCTCCCCTGCCCAGAGAAGTGGTGAGTGAGTGAGCGACCTTGGGAACCCATACTTTTCCCACAGAACTTTGCAACCCTCAGGTCAGGAGATCCCTCATGAACTCACTCCACCAGGGCCTTCAGTCTGACATGCAAAGCTATGTGGAGTCTCGTCAGAGCATCCACTCAGGCACACTGGAAGCCACAGGAGCTTTAGATACCCAGGCTTCCCAGCAAAAGTAACTGCAACTCTGGCAAACTGGGAGGTTAGACACCCCCCCCCATATATACCCCTAGAAAACGGTCTAAATCCACGGGGCTGAGCAATGACTATCTGCAAGCCCCATTTCCATGGAACATCACAGGATAAGACCCAATAGCTTTGAACTCTAGGCTGCCATGGGTAGCAACATTATACCTCCCTGAGATGGAGATCTCAGAGGGAGGCTTGGGCTGCCTTCTTTGCTGTTTCATAGCCTTAACCATTGGTGCCTTCAGGCTCTGGGGAATCTGAGGTGACTAGGGACTGGAGTGGTACCCCAGCACAACATAGCAGCTCTACAAAGAGATGGCCAGACCACTTTTTCATGTGGGTCTCAGATCCCATTTCTGTTTACTGGGAGGAATCCCCTGACCGAGGTCTACAACCACTTCTGCTGGTGTTTTCCGGCCAGTAGCAATCCCAAACCTCCCTAGCAGAGCTCCCAGAGGAGGGGTAGGCCTCCATCTTTACTGTTTTGCAGGCTTAGCCATTGTCACTTTTGGGCTTTGGAGAGCTGGAAGCAACTGGGGGCTGGAGTAGACCCCAAAGACAGCATAGCTGCTCTATGAAAAAGTGGCCAGACTGCTTTTTAATGCACCTCCTGATCCTGTTTTTCCTCACTGAGTGGGAACTTCTGGGATCCCCAGCCAACCCTGCCAGTGTGTTTGGGCTGGTAACAGGTCCATTCCTTCCTGGAGCAGAGCTCCCAGAGGGAGGCGCAGGCCGCCATCTTTGCTGTTTGACAAACTTCACTGTTGATACCATCAGGTACTGGAAAATCTGAAGTGACTAGGGACTGGAGCAGATCCCCAGAATATGGTAGCAGCTCTATGGAAAAGTGGTCAGACTGTATGTTATGTGGGTCCCCAATCCTGTATCTTCTCCTGGGGCAGATCCTCCCAGCCTAGTCTCCAGTCACCCTTACACTGGGACTATTGAGCCAGTAGCAGTTCTGCAATGCCCTGGGACAAAGCTCCCAATGGAAGGGGTGGGTTGTCATCTTTGCTTTCTCACAGTCTTCATCCTTGTGTCCCCAGGCCCTGGAGAGTCTGTGGGACCAAGGGCTGGTTGGGACCCATAACACAGAGCATCCACGTCATAGAAAAGTGGCTGAACTGTTCTCCATGCAGATCCTGATCCTCACTTCTCCTCACTGGGCAAGGCCACATGACCTGGGACTCCAGCACAATCACCCAGCTGCCACCTGACCACTTCAATCAGAGGCAGTTCTGCAGTTAAAGGAACACTCACACACAGAGATGAGAAAAAAAAAAAAAGAACTCTGGCAACTCAAATGGTCAGAGTGTCTTATGTCCTCCAAATGATCACTCTAGTTCTTCAACAAGAATTCTTAAGCAGACTGAGATGGCTGAAATAACAAATAGAATTCAGAATATGGATAGGAATGAAGATAATTGAGATTCAGGAGAATGGCAAAACCCAATCCCAGGAAGCTAAGAATCACAATAAAACGATACAAGAGGTGACAGACAAAACAGCCAGTATAAAAACAACCTAACTGACCTGATAGAGCTGAAAAACTCACTAAAATAATTTTTCAATGCAATCACAAATATTAATAGCAGAGTAGACAAAGCTGAGGAAAGAATCTGAGAATTTGAAGACAGGCTCTCTGAAATAAGAGAGTCAGACAAAAATAAAGAATAAAAGGAAAAGGAATGAACAAAACCTCTGTGAAATATGAGATTATGTAAAGAGGCCAAATCTACAAATCACTGGTATCCCTGCAAGAGAGGGGGAGAAAGCAAACAACTTGGAAAACATATTTCAGGATATCAACCATGAAAACTTCCCCAATCTTGCTAGAGAGGCCAATAGTCAAATGCAGGAAATACAGAAAACCTCTGCAAGATTCTAGACAAGAAGATCATCCCCAACACACAAAATCATCTTATTTTCCAAGGACAAAATGAAAGAAAGAATGTAAAAGGCAGCTTGAGAGAAAGGGCAGGTCACCTACAAAGGGAACCGTATGAGGCTAACAGTGGACCTCTCAGCAGAAATGTTGAAAGCCAGAAGAGATTGCAGGTCTATATTCGATATTCTTAAAGAAAAATTTCTTTAACCAAGAATTTTATATCCAGCCAAACTAAGCTTTCTCTGTGAAGGAGAAATAAGATCTTTTCAGACAAGTAAACATTGAGGGATTGTATTACTAGACCCACCTTACAAGAGATCTTGAAAGGAGTACTAAATATGAAAAGAAAACACCATTACCAGCCAATACAAAAACACATTTAAGTACACAGACCCGTGACACTATAAAGCAACCAGACAAACAAGCAGGCATAATAACCAGCTAACAACAAAAAGACAGGATTAAATCTACATATATCAATACAAACATTGAAAGTAAACAGGCTAAATGTCCCAATTAGAAGGCACAGAGTGGCAAGCTGGGTAAAGAAGCAAAATCCAATTGTATGCTGTCTTCAGGAAACCCATCTCACATGCAATGACACCCATAGGCTCAAAATAAAGGGATGGAAAAAATCTGCCAAGTAAATGAAAATCAGAAATAAGAAGAGGTTGCAATTCTAATTTCAGAGAAAAACAGACTTTAAACTAACAAAAACGAAAAAAGACAAGGAAGGGCATTATCTAATGATAAAGGATTCAATTCAACAGGAAGATCTAGATATCCTAAATATATATGCACCCACAGCAGGAGAATCCAGATTCATAAAGCAAGTTCTTAGAGACCTACAAAGAGACTTAGATGCCCACACAATGGGAGTCTCCAGTAGGGTATTTCAACACTCCCCTGACAGTACTAGACAGATCATCAAGGCAGAAAATTAACAAAGATTTAAACAAAGATTGAACTCAACATTGGATCAAATAGATCTGATAGACCTCAGAACTCTCCACCCCAAAACAACAGAATGTGCATTCTTCTCATCAACACAGGCACGTACTCTAAAAATAGACCCCACAATTGGACATAAAACAATCCTCAGCAAATGCAAAAGAACTGAAATCATACCAAACACATTGGTGGACAACAGCTCAATAAAAATAGAAATCAAGACTAAAAAAATCACTCAATCCATGCAATTACATGGAAATTAAACAACTTACTCTTTAATGAATTTGAGGTAAGTACTGAAATTAGTGCAGAAATCAAAATGTTCTTTGAAACTATTGAGAATGAAGATACAACATACCAGAATCTCTGGGGCACAGCTAAGGCAGCATTAAGGGGGAAATTTGTAGCACTAAATGCCCACATCAAAAAGATACGAAGATCTCAAATTAACAACCTAACATCATAAGTAAAAGAACTAGAGACAGAAGACAAAACCAACCCAAAAGCTAGCAGAAGACAAGAAATAACCAAAATTAGAGCTGATCTGAAAGAAATTGAGATGAGAAAAACCATACAAAAGATAAACGAATCCAGGAGTTTGTTTTTTGGGAGAATTAATAAGATGAATAGACTCCTAGCTAGATCAATAAAGAAGGAAAGAGAGATGATCCAAATAAACACAATCAGAAATGACAAATGGGATGCTACCATTGACCCCACAACAATACAAATAATCATCAGAGACATGATGAATCATGAACACATATGCACATGAACTAGAAAACCTCGATGAGATGGATAAATTTCTATACACATACATCCTCCCACGTCTGAACCAAGAAGAAACTGATTCTGTGAAGAAACCAATAACGAGCTCTGAAATTGAATCAGTAATAAATAGCCTACCAAACAAAGGGGGAGTGACTCCTCCCCAACTCATTCTATGAGGCCAGCATCATCCTGATACAAAAACCTGAAAGAAACACATACATGAAAGGAAAACTTCAGGCCAATATTCTTAATGAACATAGATGCAAAAATTCTCAACAAAATGCTAGCAAACTGAATTCAGCAGCACATCAAAAAGCTAATACAAAATGATTAAGTAGGCTTTATCCCTGGGATACAAGGTTGGTTCAACATTTGCAAATTAATAAATGTGATTCATCACATAAACAGAACTAAAAACAAAACTCACATGATTATCTCAATAGATAACAGAAGAGGCTTCCAATTAAGTTCAACATTGCTTCATATTAAAAATTCTCAATAAACTAGGTATTAAGGAAAATACCTCAAAATAGTAGGAGCCATTTATGACAAATCCAAAGCCAACATCATACTGAATAGACAAAAGCTGGAAGCATTCCTCTGGAAAACCAGCACAAGACAAGGATGTCCTCTCTCAGCACTCCTATTCAACATAGCATTGGAAGTCCTGGCTAGAGCAATTAGGCAAGAGAAAGAAATAATGGGCATTATAGGAAGAGAGTAAGTAAAACTATTCCTGTTTGCAGATGACATGATTCTATATCTAGAAAACCCCATAGTCTTGGTCAAAAAGCTCCTTCAGCTGATACACTATTTCAGCAAAGTTTCTGGATACAAAATCAATGTACAAAAGTCACTAGCATTCCTATACAGCAACAACAGTCAAGCTGAGAGACAAATCAGGAACACAATCCCATTCACAATTGCCAAAGAAAGAATATAATACCAAGAAATGCAGCTAACAAGGCAGGTGAAAGGTCTCTACAATAAGAACTACAAAACACTACTCAGAGAAATCAGAGATAATACAAACAAATGGAAACAGATTTCTTGTTCATGGGTAGTAAGAATCATATTGTTTAAATGGCCATACTGCCCAAAGCAATTTACAGATTCAATGCTATTTCTATCAAACTACCAAAGACATTCTTGGTAGTTTCTAAACTAAAGTTTAGAATACTAGAATAAACTAGTTTATTCTAGAAAAACACTTTAAAATTCATGTGAAACCAAAAAAGAACCTGAATAGCCAAGCAATTCTAAGCAAAAAGAACAAATTTGGAGGCATCATGTTACCCTACTTCAAGCTATACTACAGAGCAACAGTAGCCAAAACAGGTTTCCTGAAAAATACCAGGGTATTCTTTCAGGAAAGTCCCAAAAATGGGAAAGTAAATCCATATCTCTGTCCTAGGAAATAAAAAGAAATTTGACTAAGAAAACATATTAAGCCATTGAGACCTGTGTTGGCCATAGTTCTAAAACTAAGGAACAAACTTAGTAAGGAAAAAAAAAAAACAAGAATGAAAAAAACAAATGAAACTTCACACAGGAATTCCCCAAGGCCACTGATTCATATTACAGGTGTGGAAAGGCATCCTGCTAATTCCTAAAATCTTTCTCAACACCAGGGGACACTCTCCCTTTGGATTTCTATGTCTAGAGACCTGTGGCTCATTAAAAGGCAGACTGATTTTTCAGAAAGAGAGAAAGAGGTTTTTAAAGATGAGTTTATGCTGCAATCCCAACATGAACTATTACTTCAAATATGTTTTAACTTTTATAATCACTGGGAATATAAACATGAATAGCTTCCTTAACTGTGAATCAGAACACTCAATCAGGTAAGAGAATGAACTAGGAGACAGGCTGTGAAGTTACACATAATCTCAATATGTTAATGAATGATCTATCTACTTGCTAGTATTAAACACCCAGTATCTAGATCTCATTTTCTATCTAATGGTGGACTCCTCATTGTGTTTGTGAGATATGAAGGCCCTTGACTTACCATGTTTTTATTGCCATACCTTGTTCTCAATTCAACATATCTAGTTCTCTAGACATTATCCAAAGCAAACATGTGATTTCTAAATGGTGAAATTTCAGTGAAGGAAACGATTTACTACAGACCACTCTGACTGCTAATTTTCTCAGAAGCTAGGAATATATGTTTTACCATATGGATTTTTGGGACAATTTTGTTTTCTGGGTCCAAGAACCAAAAATTATATTTGAAATATAATTTGTATTTTAAACAGGAGTGGTAATTTTTAAATATACAAAATATACATGGTCATTCAAGAAAGTTATTGTGAATTATTTGAAGGCAGTCCTTCATGGAGGTATAGTAAAAGTTAGATTGTTTTTCAAAACTTCTTCCCAGCTATGAAGCCAAAAAACCCATGGGCTCTCTAGAAGTGTTCCCTTGTTCATTATTTTTTTTTACCCTAGTCACATCAAATTATATTCTTTTCTCCTCAGTGGTTTCTAAAACCTTGAATGATACTCCTTTTATAGGAAGCACTCCAATGTCAGCATCTCTTTTCAATTTCTTTACAGTTCTACTAGCTCTCTCAGTGCCTCTCACTTCTGTAAGTTCCCCACACATCCTGACTTCTTCCCTCCCAATATACAAGAGCTAATCCATTACAGCCTAATGAAAAGAACAAAGAAGAAGCTACTTCACAATATTATGTCTGCTTTTATTAGTAAACCTAATGAAGATAATACCAGTACTTTGCAAATTATGGAGAAAAAATTTTTCTAGAAAATGTAATGGATCTAGAAGAGAAGAAGGTGAATTTCACTTGAGGTAGAATATTCCTTAATATCTGATGAGTGAGTTTATTTCAGGCAAAATAAAAACAGAACTTAAGAAAATAGATCACAAGAGAAGACAATTTCAAGAAGGCTGAATATATATTTTGAGGAGAGGTTAGTATTGGTGAAAAAAGAAGAGAAACTACTGAATCTATCAGAGGAAATACTATTCTTATCCAGGGATTCACAGATTTCCTAGGAAAGAAAGAGTCTAAGATCAACTGGTGAATAAAAGCACAATAACATTTGCAATGAAAAAAATAATTTGGGATTCTATTTCAAAAAATGTATAAAGGGTCAGATTATAGGAAGAAACTGAGCTCATCATCAGATATAATAGTGATGAAATTTTAAATATTCAGGTTAATATGTGATTAATGTGGTCATGTTTCTTACCCCAGTAGGTCACTGCGACATTTCAGGGATGTGGGTCAGGAAGAGATCAGTAAGAGAATATCTCTAATTCATTTACATTCTAAAATGAGGAAATGCAATTACTACTACTCTTTCAAGATTTAAAAAAAAAATCGTGGTTTTGATGCATTGAAACCTGTCTTTTTATTTAAGTTAACATCCTACTGGTGGTTTCTTACTAGGCCAAGAGATAGCTATGTGGTATGCTTAAAAATTGCCCCCTGTGAGAGCTGCTTGGGAAGATGAAAGGAAAGCTGTGACCGAATGAAGATATTCACAGGCCCAGAGATGTGGCTAATGCCTGTAATCGCAGCACTTTGGGAGGCCGAGGCAGGCAGATAACTTGAGGTCAGGAATTCAAGACCAGCCTGGCATACACGGTGAAACCCCATCTCTATTAAAAATACAAAAATTAGCCAGGTGTGGTGGTGGACTCCTGTAATCCCAGTTACTTGGGAAGCTGAGGCGAGAGACTCTCTTGAACCCAGGAGGCGGAGGTTGCAGTGAGCCAAGATCACACCACTGCACTTCAGCCTGGGAGAAAGAGTGAGAATCTCAAAAAAAAAGAATGAAAATATTCACAGCCAGAGAAGACTGTAGGCTAGCAACGTTTTCTGATTCCTGGGAGAAAGAAATATATTAATGAAAAACATAATAAAAAAATAGTTGTGTCAGAGATCATAACAGATATATATATATATATCTTTAATATTTAGCCATCTAAAAGCCAAAAATGTAAAACTTGTGAGGTTGAATCATGCAAAACAACAATACTCTCCCTCCAGATATTCTTGGCTTGGTAAGAAAATTCTGAGCTGGAAGGATTCTGATTGTGATTAGTGTTCCATACATTATTTTGTCTTTTGTCTGAAGCAATGCTGAATACAACCTCAGTCACTGAATTTCTCCTTTTGGGAGTGACAGACATTCAAGAACTGCAGCCTTTTCTCTTCGTTGTTTTCCTTACCATCTACTTCATCAGTGTGGCTGGGAATGGAGCCATTCTGATGATTGTCATCTCTGATCCTAGACTCCATTCCCCTATGTATTTCTTCCTGGGAAACCTGTCCTGCCTGGACATCTGCTACTCCAGCGTAACACTGCCAAAAATGCTGCAGAACTTCCTCTCTGCACACAAAGCAATTTCTTTCTTGGGATGCATAAGCCAACTCCATTTCTTCCACTTCCTGGGCAGCACAGAGGCCATGTTGTTGGCCGTGATGGCATTTGACCGCTTTGTGGCTATTTGCAAGCCACTTCGCTACACTGTCATTATGAACCCTCAGCTCTGTACCCAGATGGCCATCACAATCTGGATGATTGGTTTTTTCCATGCCCTGCTGCACTCCCTAATGACCTCTCGCTTGAACTTCTGTGGTTCTAACCGTATCTATCACTTCTTCTGTGATGTGAAGCCATTGCTAAAGCTGAGCTTAATCAGTGGCTGCTCAGTACTGTCACAGGGACAATCGCCATGGGCCCCTTCTTTCTCACATTACTCTCCTATTTCTACATTATCACCCATCTCTTCTTCAAGACTCATTCTTTTAGCATGCTCCGCAAAGCACTGTCCACTTGTGCCTCCCACTTCATGGTAGTTATTCTTTTGTATGCACCTGTTCTCTTCACCTATATTCATCATGCCTCAGGGACCTCCATGGACCAGGACCGGATCACTGCCATCATGTATACTGTGGTCACTCCAGTACTAAACCCACTGATCTACACTTTGAGGAACAAGGAAGTGAAAGGGGCCTTTAATAGAGCAATGAAAAGGTGGCTTTGGCCTAAAGAAATCTTGAAGAACTCTTCTGAAGCATAAATAAACAATTAAAAAGATGAGTTTGTAATTACATTGTTTCTTAAATTATTTAGAAATGTACAACAGAGGGAACTGGATAAAACAAAAATATATGGAAAAATATGCTGTAGTTGTATTTAACAATGCTTTCCTGGATTATATAAGGGACATTTGAATGAATGGGATACTAGCCATGGAACTCTACTGCTGACTATGTTTTGAAGATATCAGTTGATAAAATTGATGTTAGGTTTTTTATATGTTCTTATGATGAAATTGGGTATAGAAATATGCCTGTTTTTCCCATATATCAAATATATGGATAATACTTGGGTCTATTTATCTATCTGGTCCCTCTAGGTTAATGCATTATAATATTATAAATAAAATTATTATGCTTTGATATTTTGAGGATTTTACTTTAGGGCCATAGTTACTCAACTGGAAAAGAATATGCTAACTGACGTATGAGTTAAGGAGAATTTTTAAGGGGTGGGTCTTGATTTCTTATTCTTCAAACAAGGAGACAAGTAATTAAAGCAAATGACATTGTAATCACTAAATAACAACAACAACAAAAACCCTGACAGTTCATCTAAATAGTTTTGGCACCTCTGTCTCCAGATATCTCTTATTAGTCAACTGTCCACACCCTCAATGATTACTTAAAATATTAAAAATCGGAGATAATTTAACAAAGCTCTTAAGACTCTTTCAATCTCGTTAGGATGTTATTGTTCCCTCAGCCTTTAATTGCGGAAGATGACGACTTTATCAAAATTTTATTTTCTTTTTCTTACTTGGCACCAAACTCATACTAAGCAAAGGCATAGAAGTCATAATTATTGAAGTATTTCTAGACATGAACTGCTATGTTCCTCACTTTTTAAGTTCCTATAAATGGCTTCTGTCCCTGAAAAAATGGTGGATTCTATAATTTATAAATATTTAAAGAATAGACAGAAAATACTATGAAAAGGCATTTTAAGCTGGTGGACTGACCCTTCAAGGTCCCTGCATGCACTTTTGTAAATCTAAACAATTTTATTCTGACTTCTCTCCATGCTTCTTTTGTCTTCTAACTTCACCTTCTTTGGTCCCTCAATTCCAGTTTAGTTTATAATAAAACAAAACAACAATGTGTGTGTGGAGATGGCAACTCCTAATCTCAACTGTCCCACACTATCAGTAATATATTTGATGCATATTTTTATACAATATGTTTTTTCTGTCATTTCTGGTGGTGAGAATCTGCCACATAATTCAAACTTCAGAGAGTTTGTGAACTGTAGAAGAGCACATGGGGTTCTGGTTAACTATTAGTGCATAACACATTAGGACCCCAAAATTCAATCGCTTAAAACACTTAAGTTACATGCTTTGTTGGGTAAGAAATTTGGAAAAACACAGCAGAGAATGGTTGACTCTGATCCATAATGTCTCTGACCTTTGCTGGAATGACTTCAGTCTGGTCACGGAATAGCTGAGAGCTGAGTAAGTCTCTCTCTCTATTTCTTTTTCTCCTCCCTTAATTGCTCCTTGTGACTATCATATGCTTCTTCAACAGGGAAGCCTCAGACAGACTTTTTCATGTTCCAGTAGACCACGGCAAAAGCTGCCAGCCTGGGGCTGAGATTGACCAGTAATAAAATGTCTCCTATTCAAAAAAGCCCAGGATCTGATGGCTTTATTGATGTATACTACCAAACATTTATAGGATAATTAATGCCAATCTTCTTAAACTCACTCAAAAATATGAAAAGGAAGAAATACTTTCAAACTCACTTTATGAGGTCAGCATTACCCTAATACCAAAGCCAGACAACGCAACTATAAGGAAATGCAGTTACAGGCCAATATCCCTGATGAACATAGATGCAAAAATCCTCAATGAAAACTAGCAAAATGAATTCAACAGCACATTAAAATGATCATACACCATGACTAAGTGGGATTCATCCTTAGGATGCAAGAATGGGTTAACATACACAAATTAATAAATATGATATGCCACATTAACATACTGAGGGATAAAAACCATATGATAATAGGTGCAGAAGAAGCATTTGATAAAATTCAATATTCTTTCATAACTAAAAGAAACTTTCAACAAATTAGGTATAGAAGAAACATAGCTTAATGTAATAAAGATAATGTATATCAAGTCCACTGCTATTCTCATTATCAGTGTTGGAAAGCTAAAAGCTTTTCTTCCGATATCAGGAGCAAGTCAAGGAGGCCCACTTTCACAATTTCTCTTCAATATAATTCTGACATTCCTAGCTATAGCAATTACACAAAAGAAATAAATAAAAGGCATCCAGACTAAAAAGGAAGAAGTAAAATTTTCTGTTTGCAGATGACTGGATCTTACATCTAGAAAACCCTAATGACTACACCAAAAACTGTGAGAACTAATAAATTTAGTTAAGTTCACAGGATACAAAATTAACTTACAAAAGCCAGTTGCATTTTTACAACAATGATCTATTTGAATAGGAAATCAAGAAAACAATTCTATTTACAATAATATCAAAGGTAAATAAAATACTTAGGGATAAATCTAACCAAGAAGGTGAAAGATCTGTACCTTGAAAACTATAAGGCATGGATGACAGAAATTGAAAAAGATACAAATAAATGGAAAGATATTCTTTATTCATGGATTGGAAGAATTCATATTGTCAAAATGCTCATACTTTCCTAAGCAAACTGTAGATTCTTTACAATCCCTATCAATATTCTAATGGAATTTTTTACAGAAATAGCAAAAGTACTAAAATTCTTATGGAACCACAAAAGACTCCAAATAGCCAAGGCTATCTTGAGCAAAAAGAACAAAGCTGGAGGCACAACTACCTGAACTCAAAATATACCACAAAGCTATAGTAATCAAAACAGTATGATACTGGCATAAAAACAGATACATAGAACAATGGAACAGAATAGAGAGCCCAGAAATAAATCTATGTACTTATGGTCAGTTGGTCTTTGGCAAAGGTGCCAAGAACATACAATGGGAAAAGAATAGTTTCTCCAATAAATTGTGTTGGAAAAACTTAATATTCCACCTAAAGAAGAATGAAATTAAACCATTGTCTCAAACAATACGCAAAAATCAATTTAATTGGATTAAAAACTGAAAGGCAAGACCTGAAACTAAAACTACTGGAAGAAAACAGGGAAAAACTTCTCAATGGTGGTCTGGGAAATGATATTTTTAAAATATCATACGTAAAGCACAGGAAACAAAATCAAAAATAAATACGATTCTACCAAACTAAATAGTTCCTATTTAACAAAAGAAAACATCAACAGAATGAAGAGATAACCTATGAAATGGGAAAACAATATTTCATAAAGAGTTAATATCCAAAATATACATTTTTTAAAAACTCAATAGCAAGAAAACAAATAGCCTAGTTTAAAAATGAGGAAAGAATCTAAATAGACATTTTTTCAATGAAATAGATATTTCCACACAAATGGCCAAGTGTATTTTTTAATGTTCAACATCATTAAATCAAAGGAAATACAAACTACAACCACGAGATATCACTTCACATCTGTTAGAATGGCTTTTATCAAAAAGACAAAAAATAACAAGTATTAATGAGGATATAAAAAGAGAACCTTTGTACATTGTTTTTGGGAATTTACATTTGTACAGCCATTATGGGGAACATATAGAGATTCCTCAAAAAACATAAAGGTAGAAATACCATATGATTCAGTAATCCCACTTCTGGGTATATGTCTAAAGGAAATAAAATCAGTATTTCAAAACCAAACATTGTATGTTCTCACTGATATGTGGGAGCTAAGCTATAAGGATGCAAATACATAAGAATGATACAGTGGACTTAGGGGACTTGGGGTGTAGAGTGGGAGGGGGGGTGAAGGATAAAAGACTACAAATACGGTGCAGTGTATACTGCTTGGGTGATGAGTGCACCAAAATCTCACAAATCACCACTAAAGAACTTACTCATGTAACCAAATACTACTTGTACCCCAATAACCTATGGAAAAATAAAAAAAAAATTAGTATTTCAAAGACATATCTGCACTCTTGTGTTCATTGCAGCATGATTCTCAATAGCCAAGATACAGAATTAGCCCAAAGGTCCATCAAAACAGAGAAGTGGATTTAAAAATGTGACCTATATAATGTGCATATAGCGTGGTGATTATAGTTAACAATACTGTATTATATACTTGAAATTTTCTAAACTAGAAGATCATAAATGTTCTCACCACACACATACAAAAGGTTGTAACTATGTGAGGTGATGGATGTGTTAATTGGCTTAATTGTGGTAATCGTTTCACAATGTATACATATCTCAAAACATCACAGTAAACATCATAAATATATACAACTTCATGTGTCAGTCATACCTTAATAAAGTTAAGAGGAAGAAAACGACCACCAAACCCTCTAGGCAGGGGAATATATCAATAGGAACTTTAAAAACTGAAAAGCGAAGAAAACAAAGACTTATTAAAGCAGAGAAGAATATTCAAGGATTCTGGAAAAACTCCAAAATATGTAATACATACAATGGGAATATCAGAAGGAGTAGAAAAGTAGATAGGAACAGAAGAAATATTTGAAGCAATAACTGAAAATTTCCCCAAATTAATATGAGACATCAAACTTCAAATCTAGGAGGCTCAAGGAATACCAAGAAGCATAAATGCCAGAAAAACTATGGCTAGGAATATCATTTTTAAACTATGGAAAATTAAACAAAAATCAGAAAGTCAAAGATTTTTTTTAAATCATGAAGAAGCCAGAGGATAAAAAATACCATACCTTTAGGGAAGAAAAGATGACATCTGAGTTCGCAGAAGCTACAAAAGTTAGAAGAAAATAGAGTGAAATATTTAAAATTTTTGATAGAAGAAAAACCAATCTAGAATTCTGCACTACATGAAATTATCCTTCAAAAGTGAATGAGAAATAAACCTTCTCAGAGGAACAAAAATTGAGGGAATTTATTGCCAATAGACTTGCCTGGTAAAAAGTGATAAAATAAATTTTTTAGAGAGTAATAAAATTATACAAGTGAGACATTTCAATCCACCTTTAAGAACAGAAGAGCATTGAAGAAGAAATAAGTGAAAGTAAAATAAAAGAAAAAATATCTAATTACGTATGCTTATGTAAGTGTGTGTGTGTGTGTATGCTTTCATATGCTTAGGATGGTTTCATAACTTTGCTCTTGTGAAAAGTGCTGCAATTAACATACACATGCAGGTGTCTTGTTTGTACCATGATTTATTTTCCTTTGGGTAGATATCTAGTATTGGGATTGCTGAATCAAAGGGTAGTTCTAATTTTAGCCCTTTAAGAAATCTTCATACTGTTTTCCATAGAGGTTGTACTAATTTATATTCTCATCAACAGTATATAAGCATTCCCTTTTCTCTGCATTCTCACCAACATCTCTTGTTTTTGACTTTTTAATAATAGTTACTATTACTGGTATGAGATGATATCTCAGTGTGGTTTTAATTTGCACTTCTCTGATGACTAGCAATGTTGAGCTTTTTTTATATGTTTGTAGGTTTTGTAGGCTGATTGTATGTCTTCTTTTAAATGTAAGACCTGAAACTATAAAAATTTTAGAAGAAAACCTAGGAAAAACTCTTCTGAACATTGGCCTAGGCAAAGAATTTGTGACTAAGACCTCAAAAGCAAATGCAACAAAAATAAAAATAGACAAACAGAACTTAATTAAACTAAAAGGCTTCTGCACAGTGAAGGGAATAATCAACAGAGTAAACAAACAACCTACAGAATGGGAAAACATATTTGCAAATTATGCACCTAATACGGGACTGGTATCCAGAACTTACAAGGAACTTAAACAACTCAACAAGAAAAACAAATAAATAACCCCATTAAAAAGTGGACAAAGGAAATTTTTGTATTTAGTATATGCTTGAAATGTTTGTATTTTAAAATGTCAAAAGAAAAAAAAATTAGTACCTAACATTATCCTTTCGCACTGTGCCAAGAGTAGACATTCATTATAGTGCTTTTACATCTGTGAACACCCCCACTACATTGTGATCATTTCCTAGATTCCTTAACAGCTGGTAACAACCATGGAAATTAGGTCCTACCAATCAGCAAGACTATGCATGTGGAATTCAGTCTTCTCTGCATGAAACAGAGGAATCTGGTCCTTCTGGAGCATCAGTGATGGATCTAGAAGTACTCTAGGGTTGAGTAATGATGGCAGTGATATTTACGCCAACAAGAGACCCTCTGTGTTTCTGCATCTCATTCCTGGCAGAATAATTCAGAGTCTGACTCTCTTTACCTACAGGATAGTGTGTGAGCTATCAAATATTATATAAGAAAAAACAGCAGCTTAAATTAGCCAGGGTAGCTTATGTTGTTTGCAACTGAAACCACACCAAGAAAATTCACTTCTCTCAATTACTCACTCCTGATTTTAGTTACATATGCACACAGACACACAGAATAGAGCCTGATATGGTTTCGTTTTATGTCCCCACACAAATCTCATCTCAATTGTAATCTCCCATGTCAAGGGAGGGACCTGGAGGGAAGTGATTTCATCATGGGGGAACTTTCCCCCACGCTGTTCTCCTGACATATACACTAAGTAAACAGAGCTCTGGTCTATATAACCCTGGGAACCAACCACATCCTCTCTGTACTACTTACCTCCAGACTTCTTTTACTTGAGAGAAAAATTAACTTTTACTTACATGACAATTTTTACTTTTAAAACTTTGTATTGACAGTTTCTAATAGCTAAGTGTGATTCCTGGCTGACTGATATATAATGTACTAGAGAGCCATTTATTAAAATGGTGAATTTTGGAATTGAAAAAGGAACATAAAAACATTTGGAATAAAAGTTAATCATCACCTTTCCACAATGGATGATTAAAGTATTAGGGAAAACGTTAATTAGAAACTGAGTAATTGATAGATCTGACTGATACCACCTCAACTCACTGGACAATAATATAAATAGCATCTCTAAGAGTGGGACAACTAAATATCATGTGTCTCAGGATATGATGCAATAAAAATAACATAGCAACTTAAGTCAATGGCATGACAAAAAAGTGGGGTCTGCTATGTTATAAAGGGACTGGAAAGACAATAACAAAATACATTGTGTGAACCTTGTTTAGATCCTAATTTTAAGAAATTACTTAAAGATCAATGGAGAAATTTGAACATGGCTTGTGTATTAGATGATATAAAGGAAATACTGATAATTGTGCTAAGTATCATAATGGTATTGTGGGCATGGTTTTTTAAAATGTCTTTATTAGTCACAGATTATACTAAATACATATGTGGAATATGTACATACATAACTTACACAACATAATAGTTATACAACATCTGGAATTTGCCCTAAAATTTTCCATGAAAACTAACAAACAAGGAGCTGTAGCTAATTAAAATAAGATTAGCAAAATGTTGATGTTGAAGCTGGATGGTGGCTACATGGAGTACATGGGGGTTCACTGTGCTCTTCTCTTTTATGTATGTTTGAAATGTTCTACAAGAAAAGAAGTTTAAAAGAAAAGGAATTCAGCTTTAGATTTTTAAAAACACATATCCTTAGATCTTGCAATTTAGGTGCTAAAAGTTTATTACAGGAAAATCCAGATGTAAACAATGTACAGTAAAAGAATAGAATACAACTAAAAATTCCCAAAATAGAATAACAAATCATGTTTAGCCATACGATGAAGCCCAGAAGAATAAAGAAATAGATGCTTGTTAATAGAAAAAGTTGTTCGTGACACAGTGTTCAGTGGAAAACCAGATTACAAACTCCATGATCCAACTTGTATGTATAAATATAAATACACATAGAAAGAAATTTTTAAATGTCATACAACAATAATATAAAAAACAATATTTCTAGGTTTATTTTGGTATTGCTGTATTATTTTTAAATATTTATGACATATTTAATAAAGAACTAATCAAAGTTTAAATAATTTTGATTATTTGACATGGATGGAATTGGAGGCTACTATCCTTCGCAAACTAACACAGGAACAGAAAATCAAATACCGTATGTCTTCACTCATAAGTGGGAGCTAAATTATGAAAACATATGGATACATAGAGGGGAACAACACACTGAATCCTACTTGAGGGTGGAGGTT
Source organism: Homo sapiens (assembly GCF_000001405.40). NCBI lineage: Eukaryota > Metazoa > Chordata > Mammalia > Primates > Hominidae > Homo > Homo sapiens. The sequence continues at coordinate 735,400 of NT_167249.2, forward strand.
GGGAGGAGGGAGAAGATCAGGAAAAATGATTAATGAGTACTAGGCTTAATACCTGGGTGATGAAATAATCTGTACAGTAAACCCCCATGACACAAGTTTACCTATGTAACAAACCTGCACATGTACCCTTGAACTTAAAATAAAAGTTAAAAAATTGTTGCCCTATCATTTTCATTTTTAGTATAACTGCAGAAGAGTTCAAAGAGAATGGTCGAATAAGACAAAGTTACTCCTCTCCAACCCATCCTGGAAGAGTCCCCAGTGGAGGTGTCCGAAGTCCAAAATAACATCTTCATTACTCTCCTTCAATCAAGTGTTTCAGTTTGTTTGATACAGAGAATCTTCCGAAGTGCCTGATGCACCTCCTTGTTCCTCATGGTATAGATCACAGGATTGAAGAGAGGGGTGACCACAGTGTAGAGCAGGGAGAAGACCTTGGAGAGGAGCTGGGAATGGACAGCAGAGGGTGCAACATAAAAGATCATGAGCGTTCCATAGAATGTGGTCACTACAGCTAGGTGGGAGGAGCATGTGGAGAAAGCCCTTCTCCTGCTTGCCCCAGCAGGAACTCTCAGCACTGCCACCACAATTCTGGCATAAGATGTCAGAATCAGTCCAAAAGGAATAGTGAGGCAGAACACAGACAGAATGAGAGTTGTCACCTGAGCCACTCTGGGATCCGAGCAAGCCAGGCCCACGAAAAGCATAAAGTCACAGTAAAACTGGTCAATGTGGTTGGGGCCACAGAACCTCAGCTGGGTCACCAGGGCCACAACCAGTCCATCTACCACAAATCCAGAGAGCCAGGTTGTGACCACCAGCCCCATGTACCGTCTGGGCCCCATCAGGAGTGGGTAGTGGAGTGGGTAGCAAATTGCCAGGTAGCGGTCATATGCCATGACAGCCAGCAGTAAGCATTCAGCTGTGGCTAGAGAGCCGAAGATAAAGAACTGGAGCAAGCAACCAGCCACAGAGATAGTTGCTTCTTGCAGGAAGCCCTCCAGCATTTTTGGCATCACTGCGGAGGTGTAGAGAATATCCAGGAAGGACAGATTCGCCAAGAAAATATACATGGGTTTGTGGAGCCTCTGGGAGCTAACCACTGCTACAATAATCAGCATATTCCCTATGATGATGAAGACATAGACAGCAGTGAATACAATAAAAAACAAGAAATGCAGTTCAGGGATGTCATAGAAGCCAAGGAGGACAAATTCAGTAATAGTTTCGTTTCCTGTGGAGACAATTTCCATGTCGATCGTCCAAGTTTCTGCTTGGCAATAATTGGGGGAGAAATTTTAGCATGTCTCTGCATCTTCTATACCAAGCCTAACGTTATTAGAGCTAAAACAAAACAAAACAAAAAAGACAAAAATGAGTCTCTAAAACAAGACTCGCTCACGCAAGTCTTCAACTATCCCCCTTCTTAGTTGTCATTCCTTCCTCAACTCTCATCCTTCCCTGCCTTCCTTAATTGTGCATATTCTTTAACGCTCAGAAGAGTTTATCCAAACTCATAATTTTAGTCTTTCAAAGACCTTTACCCCATTAATTCAATCTACTACCTCTTTCGCATAATCACCTCTATCATTCTTATCTGTATAGTCAGCCATAGCCTCCTTCTTGTGCACCAGTATAATATTCTCCAAATGTGTGCTATATAGACATGGCCCACAACTGCAAACTCTTCTATCTTTCTCAATCACAACCAATTCCTCTATGAGTGGTTTGAGAATTCTGTCTAATCCCCATGGTCACTATCTCATTCTTCTCATTATCTCAACCGCCCCTTTCATTCCCCATCTCCTAATCAGTGATACCTTACCAACTGTTCCTCGGATAATTCTTATATATTCTTCACTTATTGCCTTCCTTAAATAGTAGTTTCATCAAGTCATTCAGGAGTTGGTAGTGAAAATGTGGTAAATGGTAATAGGGAAGGAAGTAGGTGCCATGGGAGCAGAGAAGGACCAAACCCAGCCTGGGGTTGTGGGGCAGAAGGTGTGGGATCAAGGTCGGGGAAGGCTTTCTGAAGATAGAAGCAAGTAGGCTAAGTTTTGAGGGCCAATTAAGAGTTGGCCAGGAGGCCGGGCTTGGTGGCTCACGCCTGTAATCCCAGCACTTTGGGAGGCTGAGGCGGGTGGATCACGAGGTCAGGAGATCGAGACCATCCTGACTAACACAGTGAAACTCCGTCTCTACTAAAAATACAAAAAAAATTAGCCGGGCGTGGTGGCGGGCGCCTGTAGTCCCAGCTACTCGGGATGCCGAGGCAGAAGAATGGCGTGAACTCAGGAGGCGGAGCTTGCAGTAAGCCGATATCGCGCCACTGCACCCCAGCCTGGGCAATAGAACGAAACTCCATCTCAAAAAAAAAAAAAAAAAAAAAAAAAAAAAGAGTTGGCCAGGCAAAAGACAGGAAACCAGACCAGGCAGGGCATCCCTGGCAGGAAAGCATATGCAAAAGCAAAGAGTTGTAATTGAGCATGACACTTCTAAATATCTGAAAATGGCTCTGTCATACCTGCTGGAAGGTTTTCATATGCTATTCAAAGCAATATGTGTTTATTAACTGAAGACAATGAGAGAGAATACAGGGAATGATTAGAAACAGTTGAGAAAGGTAGAGAAAAAAAGCAGATATCATATAAATAAATATAAATACATAATACTAACAGTGTTACTTTCTAGAATATGGGATTAATAAATATACATTATATTTATTATCACAAAAAATGTAAGTTATCTTTAATACAAATAGTCTAGAACATCAGTTTCCTAAGAGGTGAAAAACTGGATGCCTCAGGGACCACAGTGCTGGGAGCCTTCACGGCACACTGTTTTGTAGTTTTGCCTAAGACCAAATCTGCCTTTTGAATGGAATCCCATTTTCCATACCTCTGCTCATTGCTAACGTTAAATCCTCGAAGACCCAGCTTAAGAACTTATCTCTACCAAGAATCCCCCTTGACTAATAGAGCCCTTTATTTCTCTCCCAATCATGTACTAAGGATCTAGTGTATAGAAGATATTACATCTGTTTCTGAGGATAGTGGGCCAAACAAAACTGGTCCATACTCTTAAGGAGTTTACACTCTTGTGTGACAGATGGACATATCAACAGAAAATTGCAATACGCCAAAAGACAGTTAATGAATTCAACCTGAAAGAAATAGTACTAGGAGGAAGTGATGCTGAACTGATGAGTGATTGCAGTGGAAAATGGAAAGAATGGAGGTGAGGGCATTTTAGGTAAAAGGAAAACCATGAGTACACACTGAGGCAAGAAACAACATTGGATGTGAGGAGGAGAAAGAGGTAGCAGGGGGTAAGTAGCCAAGGGTAGCTCAAACAATCCCCTCGATTCTGAAGGAGAATTAGGATTGAGGTGAAGAATGGGGGAAGACAGGGAGAGAAAGGGGCCAGGATCAGAGTCTGGGGACCCTTGCTTGTCACAAGAAGGAACTAGAGCTTCATTCTATAGGCAGCAAGGCACAGCTGAAGGCTTTTAAACAGTACAGTGGCATGTTTCAACCTAAATTTAAATAGTATTATGGAAGCTACATCCAAGGTAACAAGAGTGAAAGAAGGGATGGCCCCACTCATCTGATACCTGATGTGCAAATACATGCTGCCTTGAGTTCATCATTAATTATCTTATGGTATGCACTTTCTCTTTTCCAAAAGACTAAAAGTTCATTTAGCACAGGATTTAAATTTTTATAAGTGCTACTGTACCGAAGTCTTACAAAAAGATATATTCTCAATGAATACTTAATGTTTAACACCATGTCTTCCTTAACCTAAACCCATATGAATTGATCAGAGAAGAATGCTGTTCTTCATAGACTACAAAATTCCACAGGTTCTGTTATTGCCCTCCAACTCCCGTCTCTAAAGCTATTCTCTTACCCTTTGATCCCATCTGCATTTCCTTGTGAGTGAATCTGGCACTCCCTATGTGGGCCATCTTTAACTCTAGATTATTTTATCTGGTCCAAACTCATTCTGAGGCTTGGAGTCTTTCTATAGGATTCCTGCCAGGAGAGAGGTGAGCATGTAAATCAGGCAAGAATACCTCTAATAATAAATAGCTCATGACCACTACCTCCCCTGGAAATCAAGAGTATCATTGGAGCTGGAGGCTATTATTTTAAGTGAAATATCTCAGAAACAGAAAGTCAAATATTGCATATTCTCATTTATAAGTGGGAGCTAAATAATGTGTGCACATGAACACAGAATTCAGAATAATAGACATTGGAGACTTGGAAAGGTGAGGTGGGAAGGGGTGAGGGATGAGAAATTACCTAATGGGTATAATGCACACTATCTGTGTGATGGTTACACTAAAAGCCCAGACTCAATCGCTACACAATATATTCATGTAACAAAACTGCACTTGTACCCCTAAATCTGTAAAAGTAGATATGAAAAGAAAAGAAATGGGAAAAACACAGAAACAGTAGGATATATGAGAGGCTGTTATTCCCTTAAAGACAGAGGGGAATCAGGGAATAGAGGAAGTTGATGAATTTAGAGTTGAAAACTCCAAGGAATAGAGCTGAATTTGGAATTGGAAAACTCAAAAAACTGCAGGAAGAGTTTGAAATCAACAGGAATTTCACCATACTGACTGGTAGAGAAGTAAGAATAGTGCAAAATGCCTGTTTGTTGTCTAACGAACAATCAGCCACACACTCAATTCTAAGTAAAAACCATAACCCTCATTCAACCCAGACTCTGAGATAGCATAGAGTCCTTAATTAAAACGAGCAATTCAAAGAATATTCCAGGAAAAAATATTTTAAAAAATATATACAAAACTGTACATTTTAATTCATCTTTAGGTATTAGAAAAAAATTTATTCTCATATTTTGAAATGTCTGCTAAACAAACATGTTATGTTTGTAAGCAGAAAACCAAAAAGTTAATTCAGTTTGATTTTTTTAATCTGTTAATTCTCCTCAAGTCTCTTCAGTAATTACTCCATAATAAAACATTAAAATATACTTAAAAGGTTTTAAAAGAAAACAGTATAATTTTAAGTATATCCCAGTTTTGTCAAGCCATGGGATAGCAGGAGGAAAACTTTCCACCATGAAAACATTAGTATGAGGGTGTCTCGCTTCTTCCTACTCTGTAACATATCAACTGAAGCTTGGGGAGCATGAATATCTACTGTTCCCCATCTCCAAAAGAGAAGAGAGAATTAAAAAAATAAGTCAGTATGCACCCAGAAGGATTAGAAATCAACTTTTAAAAACATCCAATGGAGAAAAGAGCAGCACTGGTATTCTAGAGAAATACTGCGGGACTTCTTGAAATGATTTTTAATAAAAGACTTTTTGACTCTCTGGGTTAATTGAAAGTTGCTAGTGATTACAGGATAAACAGCTATAAAAACCAGCCATTTAACTTTTTTAAAGAATCTGTGAACTAAGCTGTAAAGAATTTTACAAAAATAAACGTACCCGAAATATCGACCCTGTTCTCTAAAGACAGGACTGTGAGGAGGAGATGATCTGCTAAGATTTGCTGAAGACTTCAGAATGTTGGAATTTCCTACCTTCAGCTCCCTCCCTGCTTGAGCTCAACCTGAAGTAACGTAGAACATTGATTACAAATGTCACCCTTGTTACCCTCCACTCCTGAGCCATTTTCTCTTCCACCCTCCATCCCCTTTTCTAGCTCTCAGGCTATTCTGTCCTTTCATCGCAGTCCTTTCCCTCTATCACATGGGAGGGCAGGAAATTGCCACAAAGGGAGAGGCCCCTGAGAACCAATTACAGATTTACTGGAGAGCAGCCTGAAATGAGCAAGACATAGCAGGCCCCTAAGGAAATTGTATTTTTTCAAAGGCGGTTTCCTGAACTGTTGGCTTGACCATAAACGGAGCAGAAACCAAAAGAGCCAAATGGAGCCCACCTTTCCATCCCCTTGGGGACAAATGCTCTCCATTTCACCAAACATCTAAAGCCCCAATTCCTAGTCTCCATAACTCACCAGAAAATTCTGATTTCTCTGCAACATCCCTAAATTCCCCATTACCAACAGTGGTCCTCCCAGCAGCCTGCCCTCAACTTTCATTCTCCAATCTACAGCCTCCAAATCGCCCTCTTACCATCCCAGGCAATTGTTTCAATAGGTACCACCCTTAGTAGGGGTGTTTTATATAGATCATCAAAATCTTGCCAATGCTGAGCCTGATTTAAGGAGAAGGAAGGTGGCGTGATGTTACAAAATGACGTTGAAATGGTTATGTAGCGTTTCAATATCCTTCCTGACCAAATTACTGCCCAACAACTTTGTCTGCCACTACTCCCTTTTTTGAAGCTTCCACAGAAATCAGGCTGATATATTTATTTCTCATCCCTAGGAGTGTGTTGAAGGCACTTCTGTGTCATTTATCAAACTCAGACCCTAACTTCAGCTCCACTTTCTCCCTGACCAACCGAGAACACTTTTTCTCTGAACTACGTTGTCTACTATCTGTAGTTCACAGTAAATGCCACCCTATTTTTTCTTGGCAGCAGGAGGGGTTCTCTTAATCGTTTATTTTTTTCATCAAACAGCAGCATATGCTAAAAGGTAAGTATATGTGTCTTGAAAAGAAAACTTTTGGAAAAATGTAGCATTTTTTAGTTAGCCTACATTATTATGATTTTTAATTGACAAATTAAAATTGTATATATTTATGATGTATAACATGATGTTTTGACATATGTATACATCATGGAATGACAAAATCAAGCTAATTTACATGAACCATTACCTCACATACTTATCATGTTTTTGTGATGAGAACACTCAGATCTACTCTTTTAGCAATTTTCACATATACAATTCATTAATTATAGTCACCCTTTCATATAATAGATCTCTTGAATTATCTCTCTTGTCTAACTGTAATTTTTGTAACCTTTGACCAATATCTTCTCAATTTTCTCCCTTTCTTCCAGCCCCTGGTAACCACCATTCTATTCTCTGTTTCTGTGAGTTTGACTTTGTAGATTTCATGTAGAAGGGAGACCATGAGGTATTTGTCCTTCTGTGCCTGACTTATTTCAGTTAATATAAGGTCCTCCAGATTCATCCATGTTGTTGCAAACAACAGAATTTCCTTCTTCTTTAAGGCTGAATAGTATTCCACTATGCATATATACCACATTTTCTCTATCCATTCATCTGCTGAGGGATGCTTAGGTTTATTCCACATCTTGGCTATTGTGAATAATACTACAATGAACATGAAAGTGTAGATCTCTCTTCTTATTTCCTTTGAATATATACACAGACAAGGGATTGCTGGGTCATACAACGGTTCTATTTTTAATTTTTTCAGAATTTTTCAGAAACCTCCACAGTGTATTTAATGACTGTACTAATTTACGCTTCCACCAAAAGTGTATGAGTTCTCCTTTTCCACATTTTCATCAACATTTATCTCTTATCTTTTCTGTAGTAGGCATTCTAACAAGTGTGAGGTGATATCTTATTGTGAATTTAATTTGTATTTCCCTGATGACTAGTGATGTTGAGCATTTTTTCTTGTACCTGTTTGTCATTTGTACGTCTTCTTTTGAGAAATGTCTATTCAGGTGCTTAGCTCATTTTAAAATTGAGTTATTTGTTTCCTTGTTATTGATTTGTTTAAGTTCCTTATATAGCTTGAATTTTAGCCACTTACATGTATCATTTACAAATATTTTCTCTCAACCTGTGGGTTGTCTTTTCACTCTATTGTTTCCTTTGCTGCGGAGAAATGTTTTAATTTGATGCAATCCCATTTGTTTACTTTTGGTTTTGCTGTCTGTGATTTGAGGATCATATACAAGAAATCTTGCCCATACCAACGTCATGGAACTTTTCTCCTATATTTTCTTCTAATAGTTTTACAGTTTGCAGTCATATGTTTAAGTCATTAATCCATTTTGAGTTAATTCTCATATATTGAGTGTCATAAGGATCCAATTTCATTCTTCTGCATGTGGATATTCAGTTTTCCAACATCATTTATTAAAAAGACTTTTCTTTCACCGTTTCATGTTCTGTTTATATGATCATATGGTTTTATCTTTAATTCTGTTAATGTTATGTATCACATTTATTGATTTGTGTGTTGAACCATCCTTGCATCTCAGAGCTAAATCTCACTTGATCATGGTGAAAGATCCTTTTAGTATACTGTTAAATTTGGTTTGATAGAGAAACACAACTTCAGAGATAATTCAAGTTTAAGATGGGAAAGTCTGACTAATCTTAATTCTTACAGATATTTTAGCAAACTTTTTGTCAAAATACATTTTATGGACTTTTTAAGGTCATCAGTTCAGACCACAGTCCCATGGATAAAGACAAGGATCTGTGGGGAGTAGATGTTTGTATTGTTAATCACCCTGGTGAGAGGTTAATCCTGGGGTATAAATGAAGTCTCCAAAAGTAGGTGATATATTAGCATGAAAAATACATTTCTACCTTCCCTTGTGTCCTGGGGTCAATTTGGCCTAAACTGCAAGACGTGAAAAGATTATAAGTAGTTCCAAATGAAATGAAATATACCCTTGGCCACATAAATTACCTAGTGGAATTCAAGTGTGTGTGGATCAGTATAACAGCATATAATTCTCTGCACTACATTTACTTTCCACTAAGTTAGAACTACAGTAAATTATTCTATAAGCTACAACTTGATATATGTTGTACTAGGAGAATTCTAAGAGGGCCTGTGGCCTTGCTTAGAAAAAGCAGGTACAGGGGACAGTGGTTGCTGTTCCCACAGCCAGGGTGGAGAAAGCAATGTCAACCACTGCAAAGGATGACAAAATAAAAAGAGTCAGTCAGCTCTCACAGAGCAGCAGCTTGAAGGCACAGAAAAGACACAAGAGAGGAAGGACCAGAGGAGACATTCCTGAACACATCTTGCAAACTCTCAGAAGTGACTATGGGATGCTTCACGGGGGCTAACTTCAAGCTCAAGTTTGACAACCATTTATGTTGTTTGGCTTTGGTCACATATATATCCTATTTTGTATCAGTAATTCCAGTTGGAAAAGAAACCACACATTTCCATGAGTCTCCCATGTTACTAAAATATTTCATAAGCTCGAGCTCAGTGATGTTTTCTGATTATTTGTTCCTTAGACTCCAGCCTAGGCATCCAAGGCAATCTGAATCCATAGAAACTTTAATAACAGTACATCATGGACCTAACCCAAAATATTGTTCAATCTCTTATCTTTGAAAACTTCTTGAGGATTAACAATATATTTTAATACAAAAGAGATAGTATTCAACCCAGCAGGATTTTACAAAAACAAATTATAGCTCTTTGTGGTTTCTGTTAGAGATTTACATAGTCTTACCATTTAGATTTCTTCTTCACTAGACTACGAATTAGAAGTAAATATTATCCAGGGCAGATGGTGTATCCTATTCATCTTTGTATCCCAAGAATATTTTAGCTGTGTCATAAATGATTAGTGAATAAGTAGCAATGCATGAATGCATGAATGAAAAAATAAAAATGGTCACTTGATTCATAATCCCTGGCCTTCTAAAAATATATTAACACAATGTCCGGTTGAAAAGAAAGTTCCAAACATTCCACCAGTAGACATGACTAGCAATAGAGTTGACCTTCATTATTTGTGGATTCAGTATTTGCAAAGTCACCTGCTCCCTAACATCTATTTTTAACCCCTAGCTCAATACTCACAGCACCTTCGCAGTCGTTCATGGACAAGTGCATGAACACAGTGACAAAAAGTTTGAGACACACTGTATGCATCCCCACCTGATGCTGAGCAAGGAAACGCTCTGTCCTCTTGTTTCAGCTATTATACTGTAAACAAGTGTCCTTTTCATGATTTCCTGATTTGCTGAATGCCATATTTTTCACATTTTTTGTTTGTTTTTTGGTGATTTCATAATTCAAAATAGCCCCAAATGTAGCGCTGAAGTGCTGTCCCATGCTCCTGAGCACAAAAAGGTTGCAATGGATCTTACGGAGAAAATGCATTTGCTAGATAAGCTCTGTTCAGGCATGTGTTATAGGGCTGTTGGCTGTGGGTTCAACGTTAATGATCAACGATATATATTATATAAGATGTGTTTAAACAGAAACACACTTACAATAAGGTTATTTATTGATCAGGTGACAAAAATGTGACCAAAAACTCATAGGAATCTAACCCTGCATCTCCCCTAAAGCAAGGAATTATTTAATATTTGCTCCTACAGGGTTCAAGGCAACTTTATAGAATGCAACTGCAGTGAATAATAAGAATCAGCTGTGTCTGCATTTTAAAGATGAGAAATATGAGTCTCATTAAAATGAAGTGAATTGTACAAAGTTATAGAATAGGTTAGTCATAGAGCCAGCATTAAAACCCTGGCCTAGTTCAGTGCTCTGTCAGCTGTATCTTCAGTTCTGAAAATGCAATAAGAAAAGATAAAATACGGAATTCAGTCGGCCAGTGGCCCGCAATCCTCTTCTCTCGGTTCCTCTTTCCTCGCTCAAGATGGCGCTGCTCGCGAAGCGTTCTTGGCGTTGGGCGGCCGCAGCGGCTGCTTTCGAAAAGCGCCAGCACAATGAGATACCATCTCACACCAGCTAGAATGCCGATCATTAAAAAGTCAGGAAACGACAGGTGCTGGAGAGGATGTGGAGAAATAGGAACACTTTTACGCTGTTGGTGGGACTGTAAACTAGTTCAACCATTGTGGAAGTCAGTGTGGCGATTCCTCAGGGATCTAGAACTAGAAATACCATTTGACCCAGCAATCCCATTACTGGGTATATACCCAAAGGATTATAAATCATGCTGCTATAAAGACACATGCACATGTATGTTTATTGTGGCACTATTCACAATAGCAAAGACTTGGAACCAACACAAATGTCCAACAATGATAGACTGGATTAAGAAAATGTGGCACATACACACCATGGAATACTATGCAGCCATTCTGCATCTTTCTAATGACAAGAATATTCTCCAGCATAACCACAATACTATTATTACACCCAAGGGAATTAACATTGAACCAATAATATAAAACCCATATTCAACTTTCCCACTTGTTCCAAATCTTTTTTATAGTTGTTTTTATTTTGTTTTGTTGATGACGTAGGATCCAGTCAAAAATCATGAATGACATTTTATTGCCATGGCTTTTGGTCTTCTTCAATCTGGAACGATGTCATCTCCCATCTTTGCTTTGTCTTTAAAGACATGGATATTTTTTAAGAGTTTGTGTCAGTTGTCTATAGAATATGCCACAATATGGATTTGTCTGACTGTTTTCTTATACTCCAATTAAACATTTTTAGCAATAATACTACATAGGTTACACTAAGAGTGGACAAATAGCAATCCAAATTATTCTACTCCATTCTGTTCCCTGTAACATTAATGGCATCATCTTCAGCCATAACAGGGCTACACTCTGGGAGTAGATGACTGATGAGCTGAGAGAAAACAGATTCCTGAGGAATTCTGGATCAGAGCAGCCATATTTCCCTGAACTACAAATCTTTAGACATTTAAGTGAGAGATAAATTTTCATTCTCTTTGAGCCATTGGCATTTCCATTACTTTCAGCCAAATCTAATAAATAAATGAAATGATAAAATATAAAGGAGTCAGAAGAAAACTAAGTACGAAATCCAGTTTATGTAAACCCTGAACTTCTAGTTATATAAATTAATAAGTAAATTTATTACTTAAACCCGTTGGAGTTGGGGCTTGTTATAATGGTTGGTATGTCTTGAAAACATTCTATTTGACACACAGCTTTTATCACATCTATGAAAATGTATAAAAACACAGAAGAAACAAATCAAATAATAGATACCAATGATAAAAATGCAAAGAAAGATTTGTATAATAAATGAAAAAGAAATCAAAGCAAGAAAAATTAGTGACAATTGTATAAGAAAATGACATTTAGCACCTCAATTAGGTCAAAACATGTTTATTTCTCTTTTATATTATTAGTTACCTGTAGAATCAATAAAACCTGCAAGGGACCCTATAAATAGTTATCAAATAAATTGATTACTGGATTATATCAATATACATAAGAAGGGTAAAATTGCATTATTACTTTTTGTAGATGTACTAGAACATCTACAGTGATGGGAAAAAATCATGAGAAAAAAGAAGAAAATTAAAATGGTTGAACCAGAGATATGGGAGAACTAAGAGAAACCAATAGCTCTGGATATATTCTTTGAAATGTTCTTAACAGGTCATTCTGTATTTCTTGCAATCTAAGAAACAGATTCAAAATAACAGATTAATTGGTTTTGTGAAGCATTCTCCCCATTGGAAAGCCAAGAATGCTTGGAGACTCAGATCCTCAGAGAGCTTAAAGAGAGACAACAAACCTAAGAGAGGCTTCCTCAAGAGGGATCCACTATGTAGATAAAAAAGAAGATAAGCAAGTCACAAATGCCATCTGCCTTCACTGGTTATTTCTCCAAATAGAAAATAGAAAGACACCTTTGAGATAATATCTTCTGGAAAACACTGAAAGAGCCCCCAGAGGAGAATGAACCAAGGGCTCTTCAACTGCAAAAGGATATCAGTGTGTGGACTTGTATTTCTAATACACAACCTTGAATATGGCTGGAATATTGAATTTGTGTATATATTCAAGTGTATCTTTGGGTGTTTATAGTTTTATGTTCAGTGTATTTAGACTTTTACTGTTATCTGTAATAATGCCAATAGAATACATGATTTGCAACTTTAGATAAATCTGGCATCTGGGAATATTAGGCTATTCTTCTGTGCCTGTATTTTGAAATATAATTTGACAGTGTGTGAATTTGTGGAGTTTATGTGTGTAGTTTGGGGATTTTCATGTTTACAATGTAAGAGGACTAAGTTTGAAAGTCTGTAAGATGCAGAAATAAGCAATTAAGGAAGTTCTTGTCATCTTTTGCCTGAGCATGTTTTAAAACTAGAGAAATGCTCACCCCTCTAAATAGTTGAACTGTTTAATGCTATAGGAGCTTAAAAAGAGAGGATCTTTCTCATTTTTTTTCTCCTCCTTGAACACTGTGAAATTTATGGTAAAATGACAGAAAAAGAAGAAAGACTAAGTGAATCTGGTAACTAAAGAAAGAGCTGGAAAAAAGAAAACTAGAGGGCAAGAGGTGATAAGAGAGGTCACCTCTTATCAGACAGGAGACAAGTTGATGGAGAAAAAGATCTGCTATGAGGGAAAATTCTGTCTCCAGCCCTGCAGGAAGAATTGGAAAATCAGAAAAGAGTGAAAAGGGAGCTAGACTGACTTAATCTTCAGCCCAGGTAAAACTGGAAAGACAGTTTAACATGTTCTTTAGAATGATAGGCACTATCAGGAAGAGATGAAGTCAGGGATTCAGGCTCAGAGAGACAAATACTCATCCAGGATCCCAAGAGTGAGCAAGGGTGGAATATGGACTCCAGGCAAGGCTGCCTAATTTCAAAGTCCATGATATTCTAATAGAAAGGGAGATCTAGTGCTGCGATCAGATGCAGAGAGAGGTCATCTTTGCCCATTTCACGATTCCATAGTTGTGATTTTTCCTTGCCATTTCTTTTGTCTTCCAGTCAAAGGTATGCAGGCAGGATGAGTGCAAACACCTCCATGGTGACTGAGTTTCTTCTTCTCGGCTTCTCCCACCTGGCCGACCTCCAGGGCTTGCTCTTCTCTGTCTTTCTCACTATCTACCTGCTGACCGTGGCAGGCAATTTCCTCATTGTGGTGCTGGTCTCCACTGATGCTGCCCTCCAGTCCCCTATGTACCTCTTCCTGCGCACCCTCTCGGCCTTGGAGATTGGCTATACGTCTGTCACGGTCCCCCTGCTACTTCACCACCTCCTTACTGGCCGGCGCCACATCTCTCGCTCTGGATGTGCTCTCCAGATGTTCTTCTTCCTCTTCTTTGGCGCCACGGAGTGCTGCCTCCTGGCAGCCATGGCCTATGACCGCTATGCAGCCATCTGTGAACCCCTCCGCTACCCACTGCTGCTGAGCCACCGGGTGTGTCTACAGCTAGCTGGGTCGGCGTGGGCCTGTGGGGTGCTGGTGGGGCTGGGCCACACCCCTTTCATCTTCTCTTTGCCCTTCTGCGGCCCCAATACCATCCAGCAGTTCTTCTGTGAGATCCAGCCTGTCCTGCAGCTGGTATGTGGAGACACCTCGCTTAATGAACTGCAGATTATCCTGGCAACAGCCCTCCTCATCCTCTGCCCCTTTGGCCTCATCCTGGGCTCCTACGGGCGTATCCTCGTTACCATCTTCCGGATCCCATCTGTTGCGGGCCGCCGCAAGGCCTTCTCCACCTGCTCCTCCCACCTGATCGTGGTCTCCCTCTTCTATGGCACCGCACTCTTTATCTATATTCGCCCTAAGGCCAGCTACGATCCGGCCACTGACCCTCTGGTGTCCCTCTTCTATGCTGTGGTCACCCCCATCCTCAACCCCATCATCTACAGCCTGCGGAACACAGAGGTCAAAGCTGCCCTAAAGAGAACCATCCAGAAAACGGTGCCTATGGAGATTTGAAAAGGGGGCGATAGTGACTTCTGTGCAGTGCTCTGAGTCAGTCCCAAATACCTAAGGATCAAAGAGTCTCCCTTAAGGTCTTTCTTCACATTAGGGGAGGGCCAGCCTGTCAGAAAGACAAACTTATCTTTGAAAAGCTACCGTAGTCAAATGCGCTCCTCAGACCCTCACAACACATACATATTCTATTCCGCTTTCTGTTGCAAGAAACAAGAAACCCAGGATGGAGGATCAATTTCAGAAGCAGAGCAAGTTGACAACCAGGGATAAAGTTACAAAATATTATCCTTATCAGACTAGCAAGGTAATAAAATTTTCAGCCACAACAATGATCCTTAAAGTCATTTGACATTTGTACGTCCTAGGTAAGGCATTTGTTTCTTGGGTGGTACTACTGGTTAGTACCTTAGCAAACATAATTATACCTAATTAAATCTACTACCAGCTAAAGACAGATTCCTCAAGAAGTAAGGAGTGGCCACAAAAGTTTCAATGAAGGTAAGTTCTTATGGAAATTCATATGCCGCAGAGGTTAAGAGAACAGATTCTGATGTCAGACAGACTTAAAGTCAAGTCTTATTTTTTCCAGCTAGTTAGCTAAGTGATCACAGGTGAATGATATAATCTCTCTGAGCCTTAATTTTTTTAAATTTTATTTTAGATTCAAGGGTACATGTGCAGGTTTGTTATATAGGTAAATTTCACCTCACAGTGATTATTTAGTCACCCAGGTAATAAGCATAGTACCTGATAAGCAGTTTATTGATCCTCACCCTTCTTCTATCCTCCACCCTCAATTATGTCCTGGTATCTGTTGTTCCTTTCTTTGTGTTCATGTGTACTCAGTGTTAGGTCCCACTTTTAAGTGAGAATATATGGTATTTGGTTTTCTGTTCCTGTGTTAGTTTGCTTAGAATAATGACCTCCAGTTCCATCCATGTTGCTGCAAAGGACATAATCTGTTTGTTTTTTGTTTTGTTCTGTTTTGTTTTTATGTGAGCCTTAATTTTCTTATCTATAAAGTTGCGGTAACAACAGAGTCTAATTCATTGGGTTTTTGTGAGGATTTGTAGACTTGCAAACAATCAAGCTTAATATCTGGCACAAAATAGTATCTTGATAGATGTTTTTGTTAGCAAGTCAGACAGGTCAGCGCAAAGGCTAATGTTTGGCTCACATGGGGTGACTTTGCTGGGAAGAGAAGGGTATTCTTGAAATATCAGTGGCATTGGAACCCACAAGAGACCCAGAGGAAGGTGGAAGAAGAGGCTCTATACATCACTGTTAACAGAAACTGCTACCCAGCACAGATATGAGCCAAAAACTACCAAGACACGGAAGAGCAAATATAAGGGCTATGATATGCAGGAGAGTCAGTGAACTGCAGAACAAATAAGTGGAATAAGCTGAGAGGGTGAATCAAAAACAGCCATCTCCAAGAGGCAAGTATTTATTAATAATTAAAAGTGCAATCTACATACTTTATATCATTCCAACACTTTATTCAAATGCAACAGTATTTATTGCAAACTTTCTATGTGCCTATTGCTCTTTGGCACTGTGGAGAATATCAAGTACATACAGGGTGGTGATTCTGTCCAGAGAGCACTTGCTGTCCTGTTAAGAAAGCACTGATTCTCATGAAACTATCAGAGAACAGTTTGCAAAGTAAGAAAACACTCAAAATGTAAAGCGAAAAGACAAAGGTGTTACTCCCTGTCCCCACCCCCCAAAAGGGGTTGTGTGGCCTTCCTCAAACTCATTTTATCAATGTGGAAAACCTCACAACTACTGCTCTTCAATTGAACAAAACTGCAATAGCGAGGAACAGCATTTAAGAAGGGTTGCCTAAAGGATTGTCAAAACAGCTTTTCCTCTGATAATTTAAAATCTAAATCTTATCCCCAAGCTAAAGCAGATGAGCACAGAGCTACACATTTAAAATGCTGAAATATTTCCACTTCCTACATATCTCCATCAACTCATCTTTCCTAGAACTGGTCTTGCTAAAGAGTGTTTTGGCATTAAGCCATTGGTTTACATTGAGAAAGATTACAAGAAGCAACATTATGAAACTCTCAGAGGGATCATTTTTCTCATATCTCAGTGATAGGAATCACTGTATTTTTCCTGTCATATAAGCAATAACATTTCCTCACAGTTTTATGGAAGTACAATTGGCATATGACAAATTGTACATGTTTAAGTGTGCAATTTGATAAGTTTTGACCCATGTATGCACCATGACATTATAGGCGCAATCACGAAATGAACATATCCAGCCCCCGTGCTCCCTCACACTCCATTGTAATCTCTCTCTTTCACCCCTCCCTGCACTCCTCATTCCCAAGCAACCTCTGATCTGCTTCCCAGCACTATATTTTTCTTTTTTCAGAGTTTTATATAAATGAAATTATAAAATATGTACTCTTTTTAGTCTGACTTATATTTGGAGATTTGGCCATGTTGTGGTGTGTACAGCAGCCATTCCTTTTCATTTCTGAGTGATACTCCATTGTATAGATATGACATAATTTGTTCATCCATTCACCTGCTGAAGGAAATTTGGGTTGTTTTCACAATTTTTTATTCATTCACCTGCTAAAGGAAGTTCAGGTTGTTTCCAGTTTTTGGTTCATAGAATGAAGGTTCTATGAACATTTGTGTACAAAGTCTTTGTATGCTTTCATTTCTCTGGGGTAAATACATAGATGTGAAATGGCTGCATCACATGGGAAGTGTATGTTTAATTTTTTAAGAAATTAAGTAATCACTTTTCCTCTTAACATGACAGCTAGCAAGTTTCCACCTGAATTTGTAACTCATCTCCAGGAAATGTGCAATTCCTCACGATATATTTTTGAGATATCTAGTTTCTGGTCTCACTTGCTGTTGTTGTTGTTGTTCTATTCTACCTTTTTCTTTGTCCAGTCTCTCTCATCCTTATTTTCTGTACATTTATGTAACCCAGCACATTAGTCTTTCTGGAGCAAGACTTAGAGCCACCAATCAGTAATTAAAAAAAAAAAAATAGACAGGGGAAAGTATTGAATGGAAAATCCCTGGTTATATGGTTTGGCTCTATGTCCCCACCCAAATCTCATCTTGTAGCTCCCATAATTCCCATGTGTTGTGGGAGGGACCTGGTGAGAGATGATTGAATTATGGGGGTGGATGTTTCCTGTGCTGTTCTTGTGATAGTGAATGGGTCTCACATGATCTGATGGTTTTAGAAATGGGAGCTGCCCTACACAAGCTCTCATTTTTCCTGCTACTATCCATGTAAGATGTGATTTGCTCCTCCTTGCCTTCCACCATGATTGTGAGGCCTCCCCAGTCATGTGGAACTGTAAGTCCAATAAACCTCTTTGTTTTGTAAATTGCCCAGCCTTGGGTAAGTCTTTATCAGCAGTGTGAAAACAGACTAATACACCTTGGTAAAGATTGAAGACATGGGTTGTGATCTCTACTCCGTTACTAAAACTTTACAGGACCTAGAGCAAACTCTTTGCATCATCTTTTTGGTTTTCAATTTCATCATCAATAAACATAAAGGCTAAATCAAATGAGCTCTGGATTGAGTTCCAGATCCACTATTCTGTGCTTATTTGTCCCAAGGACTATATGCTTCTTATAGCTGATACTCTCACAAAGAACCAGAAGGAAGATTGCAGCAAATGCTCTTTCTCCACCATAGATAGCTACCAAGGGACCTTGAACTACATTAATCCTGGGCAATATAAGCACAGTCATTGGTTTTCAAGACAAACACCACTCAAAAGCTAGGGAGAGTCCATCAGTGATCCCCATATTGAGTCTTCCCCCACTGTATTCTACCTTCCTGAACCTCACATCTCCCTTACTCACACCTGCCATTGCCCCTGAGCAAAACTTGACCTGCTTCTTGAAATCCCACTGCTCTGTCCCTAATATTTCCTCCTACCAACCTTTCTCCCTGACACTCCCTTCCTCAACTTCCCTAATCCCATGGGACCCACTCACTATAGTGCACCCCAGCTCCTGATGGTATCTGCTACCAGAAGTATCCTCATTCTTTCTTTCTTTTTTTTTGACAGGATTTTACTCTTGTTGCCCAGGCTAGAGTGCAGTGGCACGATCTTGGCTCACTGCAACCTCTGCCTTCTGGTTTCAAGCGATTCTCCTGCCTCAGCCTCCTGAGTAGCTGGGATTACAGGAGCCTACCACCATGCCCAGCTAATTTATGTATTTTTAGTAAAGACGGGGTTTCACCATGTTGGCCAGGCTGGTCTCGAACTTCTGACCTCATGATCCACCTGCCTTGGCCTCCCAAAGAGCTGGGATTACAGGCGTGAGCCACTGTGCCCAGCCAGTATCCTCATTCTTTAGCTTTGCAGAACTGAAGTAAGAAGTGACTGTGGCATCAGGGAGGGAGGGTAGAAGTCAGATGGAAGGGAAGGGAGAAGGAGAGAAAGAAGAAACAGAGGCAGGCTGAAGAACTGAGCAGAGAAAAGAGAAAGAACAAAAAAGACCTCAGAGGAAGACTCACCGGCTCACAAGGAAAGCCATCTCTGTGCATCCCAGGCCAATCTCTTCACAGGGCTTGGAGAAACCTCCCAACCAGAGCTCACTCCCACAGTCTATGCTCACTGCTTCCCTGCATCAGCTCCTCCTGTGGCAGCATGGTCCCCCTGCGTTTCTGCTCCCCACTGAGCTCTCTGGGATTCACAAATCAGTGCCCTAGGGAGGGCTTGGAGAGCCTAGCACGTGGGGATCTTACACAGGGGCCAGGAAAGGGATGTAGGACTCAGGAAGAGACACTGAACAAAGGCTGTGGCTCAGTCCTGGAAATGGGAGCGTGTGCTTGTCCATTGCCAGCCTCTCTGCCTCTCTAGGTTGTGTGCCCTCACTGGCCTTAACTCTTTCCAGTCAGGGAAGACTAGGAAAGAGTTGGAAGAGGAAATATTGTAGAAGAAAGAAGAGAACTCAGGTACATCAGGGCCACCAAGAAACAGGGGCTCTGGGTCTCCCAGGGACATAAGGAGAAGGATTAGGAGCTGACCAGGCTTGCTACACAAAAGATTCCAGGGTTGATCCTCTGAGAGTTGAGAAAAACAGAAAGTGGGATCTCAGTGCAAACTTCAAGCTTCAAAGATGCCACCCATCATCTATTCAACTTTTTTTTTCTTTTGGCTAACCCTTTACACTTCTTTCAAGTCTGCGAATAATTATCAAGTTCCCACAGTGTGCCTTATTCTACATAGTGCTGGCAATCTGGTCAACTTCCTTTGTATTTCTCCTCTGCTCAGCTTTTCAGTGGATCCTCTTCATTCTCCTTCATTCTCACTGCAGCCCAGACCCACTTCCTCCCTTCCCTGAGCTTCCCTTGCCTATCTCCCTCCTCATCACCCAATCCCATTTCCTGCAAGAAGAGGCAATATTATTAATCTGTCTCATCTACCATAACCACCACCTGGTTTGTGCAATAGCATTTTCTGGATGTTTCCTCTCCTGGCAGCCAGGACTGACAATGTCACCTGCCAGGGGCCTGGAAAGCCAAGCCACAACCTTCTTAACCAATTAGAGGCACTGCAGAGAAGCAGCAGGAGTCAGGGCACTTGCACCCAAGAATGATAGATATATTTATTCACCACATATGTATGGATATAGTTAGAGAAACAAGCCTCAAGGCACAACGATTGACTGAGGTTAGACATTCGGCCACTTGAGAGAATGAGGAGGTGGAAGCACAGAAGTTAAAAGTCATCTCTCTCCCATTTGCTTCAACCTCAGCATGCCTGAAAAAAACATGGTTGATAATATACCAGTCAGTGACCAAGCCCTAATGAAATGACTGACTTACCAATACTGACTTCTCAGGAGGCTGATTTAGAGCCAAAGTAACTGCTGAGTTCTGAATAAGCAGCACACCTGGTCTGCATAATAAGATCCATTTTGCAATCACCCTCTTCAGAAAGCCAAATAATAGGTCAAAAGGTGGTTTAGAACCCAAGCAGCGGAAATAACACAGTTGAGGACTCTGTCGACCATAGGCACCCTGATGGACCTAAATAAATTACTCAACTTTTCACGAGAATATTTTACCTAATAACTGGAACTTATCATCCAGAACAATGTTTTCTGCCTCTTTGTTTTTCAGTTCATGATATTCCTGTGGACTGGCTTTACTCCTAATTTCCGACCCCAATAAGATCCTGGTCTAGTTCTTGGTATCTAGACCTAATTCCCCATTTGCATAAAAGAATACAAATGATAAACATAGAAACCCTGACCATCCTTGACTCCAAGGGTAAAAATACTGCCCTAGGCAATCATGATGCCTCTTATTTACTGCCTTTCAAATAGAAACTTTCTAAAGCAGCCATTGGGAAATAGTTCATTTTTGCAATGGACCACAGATACCTATACACATTGGGCTTATCATTTTGATCTTTATTCAGCTCCTAAAAATAGTCAATTTGAAAAATGGGGTTTGCATTGACAGTTTTATATTATTGATGCCAATTTGGAATTTTATACTTGATAATATTTATTTGTTGAATGAATTTGAACGAGTGGTAGAAGACTCTTCTGGCTGGAGCACTTTTAAGTCTTGCACTAGCATGGGTCTGGAAATGAACTGAAGGAGGACTAGAGATAAGTACAGGGGTGCGTCCCAATTGTGAATGAGAATGCAGGCCATATACTCTTTGGAGAATCACCATTATGGGCCCTCTGGCAGTATAAATGAGGCCATTGTAGAGTTATTCTTCTGTATTATCCAAAGAGAGGACCTAAAACAAATTAGTGAAATAAATACTGTAGGATTTCTGCTAGATGATGAGGCTTTTAATTCTTCCTGTTTCTGGGATGGCCTGGCTGGGCCTCCTTAGGAACTCAGCTCATTCCCCATTCCTCCTTGACACTGGATATGCATTCTTTGCATTCCTTGGCTTTCTCTCTGGTGTTCTATAGAAAGTAAATGAGTCACAGTTCCTTCAGTTCTTTCTTTTAGCCAGTCTATAGCACTCTACTGGTCATCAAAAAAGATCCAAAAGTGATCAACATGACCCTTTCTTTTTTTTTTTTTTTTTTTTTTTTTGAGAAGGAGTCTAGCTCTGTCGCCCAGGCTGGAGTACAGTGGTGTGATCTCGGCTCACTGCAACCTCCGCCTCCTGGGTTCAAGCGATTCTCCTGCCTCAGCCTCCCAAGTAGTTGGAACTACAGGTGTGCGCCACCACACCCAGCTAATTTTTGTATTTTTAGTAAAGATGGGGTTTCACCAAGTTGGCCAGGATGGTCTCGATCTCTTGACCTCATGATCTGCCCACCTCGGCCTCCCAAAGTGCTGGGATTACAGGCGTGAGCCACCACACCCAGCCACACGACCCTTTCTAAGGAAGTGAAGATGGCACATGGAGACCAAGTACAGAAAGGACTACTGGGGGTCTTGGATGGCCCTCCAATGCTGTTGTCTCTCCAGTTCCTCTTGGATAATTCTGGTGTCCATGAATTATTATGTTGCCACATTTGGATGCCCCATAAGGGTCACTTGAGAAAATCATGAAATCTGGGAAAGGAAGGGCAAGTCATAGAATCCTGCCACTATAGAATAATGTCTGACAACCAAGTGATACATTCTGTTTAAGTAGGCACCAAACTGTCGGCAAAAGCCCCATTTTCGAGTTGGCCAGTTCTGGCAATTTTCTGTGTCCATTCTGCATGCCACTCAACTCCTCTAATGAATTCTTATTCCTTTTCAAGCCTTCTGTATTCCTTCTTATCATACTGGACACTTTGACCTCTGGTGTCCTAGAACTCCTGCTTCCCATGACTTCCATCTCCAATTCCAATAAACACCTTCTTTTTAAAAATTTCCTGATATTACCCAGTAGCTCTCATCCCTATTTCCCTTTGAAGTACTCATGTTTTTTATGATCCCTTCTCCCAACACTTTTCTTGCCTTCAATGTATTTTTAATGACTGGTGACCTCTTACCTCTCCTTCTTTTACTTTAACCTCTAACTTCTCCTAATCAATATGCCTTAAAACTCTTTCAGTGAAGGCAAAATGATGAAGAAAGTAGAAATATCAGTGGTTTCCAGAGGTTACAGCAGGAGTATGGGGTCAGAGAAGGAATGATGAATAGAAAGCACAGAGAACCTTGGGGCAGTCACACTATTCTGTATGTACTAGGATTCACTTGTCCAAACACATAGAATATATAGTACCAAGAGTGAGTCCTGAAGTAAACAATGGACGTTGGGTGATAATGATATGTCAGTGTAAGTTTATCAGTTATAACAAATTACCACTCTAATATGGGATGTTGTTAGTAGGAGAGTCCACCTAGGGAGGAAGGGCAGGAGGTATACAGAAAACCTCTCTACTCTCTGTTCAGTTTTACTATTTAAAGAAAAGGAAAGAAGAAGAAAACTTCAAATACCTCCCTATAATCCTATACTAAATGATACTCTAGCTATCTTGCCCCCTCTTAATTACCAGAAGTTTCTAATCTCTACATATGTTAAGTACTCAAAAAATATTTCAAAAAATCAAATATCAAAAATAAATTACTCAAGCTACGTCTCACAAAAAAGTATCTTTCTTTCCCAGTTATGATTTTTCTTCCTTCTTCTGATATCCTCACAACTGAACATTTCCTTCGAATACACCCACCCACCCATAAATGACCAATCTTTCTCTTTTTTTTGTTGTTTTGGAGATGGAGTCTCGCTCTGACTCCCAGGCTGGAGTTCAGTGGCATGATCTCGGCTCAATGCAACCTCCACCTCCCAGGTTTAAGCAATTCTCCTGCCTCAGCCTCCAGAGTAGCTGGGACTACAGGCATGCACCACCACGTCCAGCCAATTTTTGTATCTTTAGTAGAGATGGGGTTTTTCCATGTTGGCCAGGCTGGTCTTGAACTCCTGACCTCAGGTGATCTGCCTGCCTCAGCCTCCCAAAGTGCTAGTATTACAAGCCTGAGTCACCGTGCCCGGCCCAAATGACCATCTTTCTTACCACTCATCCACAAAGCTCACAAAACGAGAAGCTGCTCAAAACACTGAGATGCCCCTCTAGGCTGGTAACAGCGTGACTTAGAATAAGTCCTCCAACTTTTCTAGCTTTCTCACCGAAAAATGGGCCTGTGGCAGCACAGTTTTATGAGTAACTAAGATATGGGATGTAGAAAGACCCTAGAAGAGGAAAAAAAACACAACAATGGTCATTGTTAAAACAGGGGACTACATTTGTCCTTGGTTCCACCACTGTCCCACAGCCCCAGCTGGTAGTTTGGCTTCTCCCATGCAGCCTCCCTCTTAGGCCCAACCATAGTATCAAAACTCTCAACAGCTATCCCAGACCTGCTGGGTCATCCCTCACAACAGAAACTCAGTGTTTGGGTAGAGTGGAGAGGCTTGTAGTGATCTTAACTTTCCTGAGAATGCTCAGCCTAATTATGTCCCGGGTATAGAATCCAACCTCATCCTTGAAAAACTGAAAGCTGTCCACAGCTATAATCCTAAAATATTTTATTGGAATCTTAAAAGCAGACATATGTTCATTACAACATCCACTGCTCTGTTAAGTACTCCATCTGGCATGGCACAGAATATGGCAACAATGTCCAAGCTGAGAGACAAATCAACAGTGCAATTACATTCACAATAGCCACACACACACACACAATACCTAGGAAAGCAGCTAGACAGAGAGATGAAAGACCTCTACAACAAGCAAGCATTACAAAACACTGCT
This sequence comes from Homo sapiens, assembly GCF_000001405.40. Taxonomy (NCBI): domain Eukaryota; kingdom Metazoa; phylum Chordata; class Mammalia; order Primates; family Hominidae; genus Homo; species Homo sapiens. Next base: position 759,707 of record NT_167249.2, read on the forward strand.
GAAGGAAATCAGAGACAACACACACAAAAAATGGAAAAAACATTCCATGTTCATGAATAGGAAGAATCCGTATTATCCAAATGGTTATATGACCCAAAGTAACTTACAGATTCAATGCTATTCCTATTAAACTACCCATGACATTTTTCACAGAACTAGAAACAACTATTCTAAAATTCATATGTAACCAAAAAAGAGCACAAATAGCCAAAGCAATCCTAAGCAAAAAGAACAAAGCTGAGGACATCACATTATCCAACTTCAAGCTATACTACAAGGTTACAGTAACCAAAATAGCATGGTACTGTTACAAACACAGATACATAGACCAATGGAACAGACCAGAGAACCCAGAAATAATGCCGCACACCTACAACCATCTTATCTTCAACAAAGTCAACAAAAATAAGCACTCACTATTCAATAAATGGTGCTGGGCTAACTGGCTAGCCGTATTAGGAAGATTGAAACTGGACCCTTTCCTTTCACCATATGCAAAAGTCAACTCGAAGTAAATTAAAGATTTAAAAGTAAAACCTAAAACTATAAAAACCTTGGGAGAAAATCCAGCAAATACCATTCTGTACATACAAATGGGTGAAGATTTCATGATAAAGTTGTCAAAAGTAATGGAAACAAAAACAGAAATAGACAAGTGGAACTTAATTAAACTAAAGAGCTTCTGCACAGCCAAAGAAACCATCAAGACAGTAAATAAACAGCCTACAGTATGGGAGAAAATGTTTGCAAACTATGCATCTGACAAAAGTCTAATATCCAGAGCTTATAAGGAACTTAAAGAGAAAAAAAATTTTTTTTAAATGGGCAAAGGACATGAACAGACACGTCTCAAAAGAAGACATACATGTAGCCAAGAAGCACATGAAAAAAATGCCCAATATCACTATTCATTAGAGAAATGCAAGTGAAAACCACAGTGAGATACCATCTCATATCAGTCAGAATGACTCAAAAAATAACAGATGCTGGAAGCATCGTGGAGAAAAAAGGAATGCTTACACACTGCTGCTGAGAATGTATGTTAGCTCATACATGCTGCTGAGAATGTATGTTGAAAGTGGTTTGGAGATTTCTCAAAGAACTTAAAACTGAACTGCCATTTGACCCAGCAATCTCATTACTGGAAATATACACGAAGGAATATAAATTATTCTACCATAAAGAGTCATGTATGTGTATGTGTTCACAATAGCAAAGACATGGAATCAACCTAAATACCTATCAACAGTGGACTGGAGAAGAAAAATGCATGGTACTTATATACCATGGAATACTATACACCCATGAAAAATGAAATCATGGCCTTTGCAGCAACATGGATCCTGATGGAGACCATTATCCTAAACAAATTAAAGCAGGATTGGAAAACCAAATGCTGCATGTTCTCACTTGTAAGTGGGAGCAAAACATTGAATACACATGACCACAAAGAAAGTAACAATAGACACCAGGGCCTACTTGAGTTGGAAGAATGGCAGGATGGTGAGGGTCAAAAAACTACCTATTGGTTACTGTGCTCACTACCTAGGTGACAAAATCATTTGTACACCAAACCCCAATGACACGCAATTTACCCGTGTAACAAACCTGCACCTGTGCCCCTTGAAACTAAAATAAAAATTAGGGGAAAAAAAGGAGAAGAGAGATAAAAGGGCAAACAAAAAAATTGTTCAAAAAATGTTGGCAAAATTTTTTCAAATTCGATAAAAATAGCAATCCACATTATCAATACCACATCTACATACATCATAAACTGAGAAAAACAAAGATTTAAAAAGAAAAATCTGAAAACCCGCTGAAGTGGTAGAGACATATTGCATAATAAGGAATAACAATAAAAATGACTGCCAACATCTCAACAGAAACAAAGGGAGTCAGAAGGCTATGAATTATCTTTCAAATGTGAAGAGAAAAAAAATCTGCCAACTTAGAATTACCCAGTGGGGGAAAATAATCTTTCTTAAATGAAGGCAAAATAAAGCCATCTGAAATTAAAAAGAAGCTGAGAAAATTTGTTGCCAGAAGATACTCACTAAAAGAATAAAAAAGGATAAAGGAAGTTTTTCAGGCTATAGAGAAATTATAATATTTGGAGTTTCAAATCTATGAGAAGGAACGAAAAACTTTCAAGATTGGAAACATAAAAGTGTATATAAAAGTTATCTTCTTCCTTTTCTTAAATTCATTAAAAGTCTAAAAATAATGATAATATATTACAAGGGTTGTAACATATGTAAAGTAAAACACGGCAATAGCTGCACAAAGAATGGGAGGAATTATAACTAATTTTATTATTATCAGATTTTTATATTCTATGTTAAAGGTATTGTATTAAGTCAGAGTAGACTCTTATAAGTTCAGGATCCATATGGTATCCCCAAGAAAAAAACTTGCACTTTAAATATAAAGACAGCTTAATCATAAATACACTTATAGATTAAAAATAAAATTATAATATAAATTATGAAATAAATAATAAATATAAATTAATATATATACATTAAAAATAAAATTCACCAGATATGGTGAATTAAAGAGGACAGCAAATCCTTCCTTCCTCCACCTCACAAATAAATTATAAAACCAGAAAAATTGTCAAAAACAATCATTTCAGGTGTCTGGAAATAAACCAAGGCAAATAATAAATTGAGAACCACTTTTTCATAAAGCAGTGCTAGAAGCTTAGGTAAGAATCATAGGTAACTGTGCCTGTCCTGTGAAAAGTGCTCCAGTACTACTCCAACTTAGTTGATGGTAGTTTTGCCAGTCAGGAATGGCCATGAAAATCAACAATTACACTATTAAAGAGGGTTGAGATGATTTGGAACAAAGATAAAAACTCATGCCTAGGGTTTATGTCAGTAAAAGTAACAAACTCAATCGTGTTTAAGGCTCAGGTATCCAGAGGTTACAGTTTTAATGAGGCGAACAGTGAACCTATCAGAAATGTAATGGGAAGATGCTGGGAATTAGATAGCTATAGAAGAATTAGATAAGATCTCTACACATTCCTGGCTGACTGGGAAACTACAGGTATGTACAGAAGAAACATGAGAGAAACCAGCATGAAGTAAAATCCAAGACAAACTTAAAAGCTCTCTGAATTTGAATATGGTCCCAGCACAAAGGCAGATGCATTAGCAGAGAATGGAAGCCTTTTGAAATCAAAAGTATTTGACCAAAACCTTCACCCAATCATTGACTGAACACTAAGCTGTGCAAGAACAAGGGAAACTTCTGGGATCCAAGATTTTAAAATATGAATTTTTAAGAGCTAGGTTGAGACCATGGAAGCCATAAATGGTGGAAGATACACAGTCCACAGATTATGTCCAATAATGTTAACAAAATAATTCTTAGAAAAAAATAAGAATATAAACTTGTCAATATAGTATCTAAAATGAGACATGCAAAGAAACAGGAAAGTATAATCAAGTCTTAGAGAAAAGACTGCAGTTAATGGAAACTGACTGTAAGTGGGACTGCTGTTGAATTTAGCAAACAGAGATTCAAAACATCTAATATAAATAGTTAAATTAAAACCATTTTTAAAGAATTCATGGACAATATAGTCTTTCATTGGGTAGGGAAGATCCACTGTCAATATAGATGGGTATCATCCAATCAGCTGGGGCCCAGATGGAAAAAAAAGGCATGAAAGGATGCTCTTTATCATTGGTTATTAAGAACATGAAATTAAACACAATACTTACAAGTCTACTAGAATGACTATAATAAGAAACTGATGGTATAAGATGTTGACAAAGATGTGAAATACTGATTAAGTGTTGGCAAGAATATGTCAAAATTGACAGAGCCACTTTGGAAAACAATTTGGCAGGTTTTTTATAAAAAAAATTTACTATACAACCCAATAATTCCACTGTCAGGTAATATCCAAGACAATTTAAATCATATGCCTTCAATGACTCTTCATAAGAACATTATTAGTAACACCCAAAAAGTAGAAACAATCCAAATGTCATCAACTGGTGAGATCAGTGGAACTGAATAGAAAGTGCAGAAATAGAGCCAAACACATAAGATCTATTGATTTTACACAAAGACACCAAGATAATTCAATACAGGAAACGATATTCTTTGCAACAAATGGTACTGGAGGAACCAGATATAGGTATAAAAACTGTACCATTATGATTTGTTTAAAAAAGCAGCCATTTTTTTTATCGCTTCTCGGCCTTTTGGCTAAGATCAAGTGTAAAAAAGCAGCCATTTTCATAATATTTTATTATATGTATGAAAATGAATTATGACTCCTATATCACAACATACAAAAAAATTAACATGGGTCATATAAATAAACATATAAGCTAGAAATTAAAAGCTTCTAAAGAAGAACATAAAAGAAAATATTTATGACCTTAGAATAGGTAAAGATTTCTTAGGATTCAAAAAGCACTTAACTGCAAAAAGATAATTGATGAATTTTGAGTTAATCAAACTTAAAAGCTTCTTCTCCTTTGAAGACGCCATTCAAATTGAAACATCAAACCACAGACTGAAAAAATAGCACAGTGCATTTATTTGACAAAGGACTTTTATGCAGAATATATGAAGAACTCATATACTTTTATCATAAAAGGAAACACTATAAAATATGGACAAATGACTTGAACAGACACCTCACAAAAGAATATATAAATGACCAATGAAAAGATGCTCAATGACTTAGTTGTTGGATAATTGTAAATTTAGAAACTACTGTGAGATTAATAAGTCTAGAGATCTAATGTATAGCCTGAGGACTACAGTTGACAACATTGTATTATATACTGGAAATTTCTAAGAGAATAGATTTTAAGTACTCTTACCACAAGAAAAGTAACTGTGAGTTGATAGATATGTTAATTGGCTTGACCATAGTAATCATTTAACTATGTATATCAAAACATCATTTGGGAGGCCGAGGCGGGTGGATTGCCTGAGCTCAGGAGTTCGAGACCAGCCTGGGCAACATGGTGAAACCCCCTCTCTACTAAAACACAAAAAAGTGGCCGGGTGTGGCAGCATGCGCCTGTAATCCCAGCTACTTGGGAGGCTGGGGCAGGAGTATCGCTTGAACCCAGGAGGCGGAGGTTTTAGTGAGCCGAGATCGTGCCATTGCACTCCAGCCTAGGAGACAGAATGAGACTTGTCTCAAAAAAAAAAAAAAAAAAAAAGGAAATCCTGTATATCCTAAGCATATACATATACAACAAAAAATTTTCAAAATTAGCCTGGCTTGGTGGCTTACACATGTAACTCAGCACTTTGGGAGGCCTAAGCAGGTGGATCACCTGAAATCAGGAGTTCGAGATCAGCCTGGTCAATGTGGTGAAACACCGTCTCTACTAAATATACAATAATTAGCTGGGCATGGTGGTACATGTCTATAATCCCAGCTACTCAGGAGGCTGAGGCAGGAGAATCACTTGAACCTGGGAGGCGGAGGTTCCAGTGAGCCGAGATCACACCACTGTACTCCAGCCTGGGCGACAGAGTGAAACTCAGTCTAAAAAAAAAAAAAGCCGGGCACGGTGGCTCACGCCTGTAATCCCAGCACTTTGGGAGGCCGAGGTGGGCGGATCACGAGGTCAGGAGATCGAGACCATGGTGAAACCCCGTCTCTACTAAAAATACAAAAAATTAGCTGGGCGTGGTGGCGGGCGCCTGTAGTCCCAGCTATTCGGGAGGTTGAGGCAGGAGAATGGCGTGAACCCGGAAGGCAGAGTTTTCAGTGAGCCGAGATCGCGCCACTGCACTCCAGCCTGGGCAACAGAGCAAGACTCCGTCTCAAAAAAAAAAAAATTAAATTAAAAAGCTATAAAAGCTATAATGAGATATCACCTGATATCCACTAGAATGTCTATCACATGACCCTGAAATTCCACAAATAGGTTTTGACCAAAGAGAAATGAAAATACACATACACAAAAGACTTGTACATGAAAGTTTATAGCAGATTGATTCACAACAGCAAAAACTGGAAACCACCCCACACTGTTTCTCTATTACAGCATAAAAAGTTATCCCAAAACTTAATGGCTTCAAACAACAAATATTTATTATCTCACAGTTTCTATGGGCCAGCAATTCAGAAGCAGCTAAATAGTAGCTGGTGATTCTAGCTTAGGATCTTTCTTTTAACTTTTTAAAAACTTTTTGTGAATACATAGTAGATGTATCTATTTTAGGATCTTTCTTGACATTGTAGTCAAGAAGTCAGCTGATTGTATTTCTAAGATTTGGATGAAGCTGAAGGATTCACTTACAAGATGTCCCAGTCACATGTTGCACGTTTTTAGTAGGGAGCCTTAGTTTCTCCCCATATGTGTGTTTCCATTCACTGCTAGGATGGCTTCCTCCAAAGTAAACAATCCACAAAGAAGAAGTCACAATGTTACTGTGACATAGTCTTTGATGTCACATCCCATCGTTTCTACCAGATTCTATTTGTTAAAACTGAGTCACTCAGTACAGCTCCCATGCAAAGGTAAGGGAAGTAGGCTCTACTTTGTGAAGGGGATATAAGAAAATTGGGGGCCATATTTTAAAACAACCACAAACCTGAATGTTCATCAACAAGTGAATGGATGAAAAAATTGTGATATATTTAGGCAAGAGAATACTACTCACTGATATTTTTAAAAAAGAATTGGACTATTGATACACAAAACAACAGGGATGATTCTCCAAACTGTGGTACAGAGCATAACACACCAAACACAAAGAGTATGTGCTGAATGAATCTTTTATGTGAAGTTCTGGAAAAAGCAAAACAAAATGATAGAAATCAGAGCAGTGGTTGCCTAGAGCATGGGGAGAATTATTGTAAATGGGCATGATGAAATTTCTGGAGTGATGGAAATGTTCTATATCTTCAGTAGGGTAATGGTTGTCTGGATGTATACATTTGTTCACATTCAGTGAATTGTCCATTAAAATATGTGCACTTCATTATGTAAATTATACCTTAATTTTAAAAAGAGAAAGGAAATAAACCAAAGTCAGGGGGGATTGAATGAGCACATTCGAGGCTTGAGAGGAAGGCTGGAAATATGGGACACTCAGAAGGTGTGGATCAGGAGAGAAGAGTGCCCTTTTACTCCCCAGTGACACGGAGAAGCAGTGGTGACCTTTTTATATGCCAAAGGGAACTCAGTTGCTGGCACACTTCCTTTGAATCTTCACATTCCTTCTTAACCATTAGTAGCTGTGGCCAATTAGCTGTCTATAGGTTATGGGGCACCTAGTCTTGGCAGAATTAATGAGCTACTTCTCTCTATGGGATGGGAGTCTTGGGATTCCTCCCCCCATCATCTCACTATGCCTTTTTTTCTGCCTTTAATGTCACTAAAAGAGAGGTTAACTTACTGGATTGAGGAAAAGAAGTCGTTAGCAAGAGTTCCATAGTAAAGCGCTAACTCTAGCTCATGTGTCTGGCAGAGCAATGGTGGAATGTGGTTAGCGCATAGCTTCTTCAGCCAGCCCACCTGGGTTAAAATTTGGTCTTTGGCGCTTACTAGCTATACTTTCCAGAACAAGATATTCAACCTCTACATGTCTTCAATTATTGATCTGTAAGGGAAGGTAATAATAGTACCCACCTTTTGAAGTTATAAGGAGCCGTAAATATGAAGCGCTTTTTTGAGTGCCCATGGAAGTAAGCACTAGCAATCAATACTCTTAACTGAAATCCAAGTTCCAATAATCATCAAGAGTATAACATTCCTCTTTAGTTTGCTTTTAGTTCTCATTGTGAGATCACAAGTGGAGGCTCCAACCAGTCCAGAAGTTCCTTTCTATGGGGAAGCTGTGGCAGCAAGGCCGTGAAGAGAGTCTGACTTAATTGCAAGTAAGTCACAAGTTTATTCCCCTACAGCCCATCAATTTCCACATGTTCTTAAGACAGTTCTGAATCAAACAGGGTCTACAATCCTGGCACTGACACTCATTGGCAGGGTAACCCTGGGCAAGTTACTTAACCTCTTTGAGACTGTTTGTTCTTCTGCAGAGATATTAACTGTCTAGCAGGGTTCTTTTAAGAAGCAGATATTCCAGGAAATTATTTAGCACAGTGTTAGTATATAGGACATCAACAGATAGTAACTGTCAAAACTATAAGTGGTTATTATTATTGAACTGTAGGGCAGAATTTGTCTCATAACTTTGTAGCAGTTAGTACATGACTGGCTCTTTGAGGACCAAAAAAGAATAAATTAATGTGCTTCTGTGTGGAGTTAATGGGATGTAGGGAAAGTAGTGCTTGCCTATTATTGGTGTCAGAGAAAAGGACCAGAAGAAACAGGGTAAGGAAAAGGCATGTTATTAAAGATAGAAAATAGGAGAGTGCAGAGGGTCAAAGGAAGATATAAACTGAAGAGATTAAGAAAAAACATACAGTGAGACAAGTTGCCAAGAGAGTAAGAATGTAAGAAATGCTGCAGTTTATGGATGAATAAAACTCTGGACAATTGCTGAGACACAAAAGATATGAGGCTGCAAAGTTTAAAAAGGAACGATACATTTAAAATAATCAGAATAGTGTTTACTTCTTCAGTGGGAGAGAAGGAGATGTGATCAGGGAGGAGAACACAGAAGACTTCTAAGATACCAGTAATATTTGATCTGTTCTTAAATCAGGAGGAGATTCAGGTACACCATGTGTTTATTATTCCATAAAATCCATAGATGTGTTTTATATACTTTTTGTTTATATGATTTTTAAAAAATTAAGGGAACAAATCTTATCCTCAAGGAGAGACGTAATGATGGAGGAAGGAATATAGAAGGAGACAAAAAGGAGGGAGTCTTGATGAAAAGGGAGATGGGAGGCAGCTTTTAACACCAGACAGGGTCCTGTGATGCAGAGGTGATTGTGCCATCCCATAAAGTCCCAGGGCACTGTCTGCCAATGAGACCACCAACTTGCTTGCCCTAAATGGCCACATCCCCTAAACGGCCCTCCTGCCATTGTCTGTGCTCAGAAAACCCTCAGTTTCTGCCTCTTACCTGCCAGGGTGGTGCCGCATCCCACCCCCATCATTGAGCTTGCCTCATGTGTCTCAGCACAGTCTTTTACAGCAAAAATGCATGTCACCTCCTCCTAAAGGCTTTCCGTGGCCCACCCACCCAGATTCCTCCTTTATTGTGCAGACTCTTTCCTAACCCACACCTCATCTTAATTTATTTGCCTTCAATTCTGGGCGGCGGTGTTGGGGAGGGTCTCAATTTTCCCATGTATTTCCCAGTGTTTATTGAATACATGAGGCCATACTCTTCTAGTCTCTCTGCTTCTCATGCTAGGAACTGAACCGACCAGCCTATACTTTAAGGCTTGTTATTTCACTGACTAAGGAAAGGCTACTTAAGAGGGCAAGCTCAGACATACATAATCTGGAGTGGATCTTCCATGGGAAAACACGTATATAACAGAAATTATTGGCAAAACTATAAGTATGGTCTACAGAGTAAGTAATAATATTTTATTATTTATTTAGTTAGTTTTGAGACAGAGTTTCTCTCTCGTTGCCCAGGCTGGAGTGTAATGGCACGATCTCAGCTCACTGCAACTTCCACCTCCCAGGTTGAAACGATTCTCCTGCTTCAGCCTCCTGAGTAGCTGGGATTACAGACACCCACCACCACACCCCGCTAATTTTTTTTTTTTTTTTTTTTTTTTTTTGTAGAGACGAGGTTTCACCATGTTGACCAGGCTGATCTCAAACATCTGACCTCAGGTGATCCGCCCGCCTCAGCCTCCCAAAGTGCTGGGATTATAGGCGTGAGCCACCACACCCGGCCAATAATACTTTATCAATGTTGGCTTTCCTGTATTTAGTAACTGAGCTGTTTTTACACTAAAAAAAAATTCTATCTTAGAAACATGAAGAAGTGAAGAGGCATTATATATACAACTCACTGTTCAGTAGCTCAGGGTAAATATAATTGCATATGCAAAGATAAAGATGTAATGATAAAAATGTCAAGTGTTAGCACTTTACTAATATAGATAAAGAACATTCAGAAATTCTTTAAATTACTCTTAAAATTTGGGGGTATGAATTTTTATAAAAATAATGTTTTAAATCTTAAATAGTGAATAGAATTAAGAAAGTAACAAATTCTAATTCCTTCCTTTTTTTCTTTAAATTCTTCTAGATCCTGAATAATTTCTACTTAAACGTCCCAATATCAACTCTCTATTTTGCTATTGACATAATCTTATTTGAGAGGCAAAAAATTTTAAAAATTATATCATCTTTTTAATTTCTAAGCCCCAGAACAAGACAATTGGCAGCATTTTTTTCATGTCATTTTGCTACATTCTACATAATGTTAAGTTGAGGTTAGGGATTTTCATTTGTGGAGGAAGCTCTTACATTTAGTTTAATGAATCATAATTTTTTTAATGGAGAAGGAACAAAATACCTCATTGATTTTTCTATGAGTGGAGTTAATACACACAGCGGAGAAATCTCTTTGTTAATTCTACACTCTGCCTCTGATTGACACCTCTGCAAACAAAGATAAAGTAGATAAAACATGAATAATTCCAGGAAACTTATGCCCCAGAATACAGAATAATTTTGCATACATATGAATAGTAGGGCAATTCTATCAAATGATTCTTTTCTAATTCTTTATGGATGTACATAATGAAATATTCAGAACTACCACAACATTTAGAATAAGATAGAGCCTAACAATTTATTGTTGAATTAATGAAGATCGGTTAATTAATCCATGTTTTACATCAGCTTTCTTTGCCCTCAACCAGGAAGTCAGAGGCACCAATGTGAGGTTCCACCTGCTTTCCAGCACATTCTTGGTTTCCTCACTTCTGCTAGACAACGTTTGATCAGAAGGAACAGGGAACGAGAAGGAGCTGCTGGATGACGATAAGCCTGGGAAAGGGAGGCTGGGTGAGCAGAGACAGAAAAGAAACACCTACCTGCTGTGACCTCACAAACACCCAGGCTGAGTTTTGATAAGACAGGTTGAATCACACTGGGGTGACAGCCTCATCCCTCCAGGTACAAACAAGAACAGGCCATGGTTAACCAAAGCTCCCCCATGGGCTTCCTCCTTCTGGGCTTCTCTGAACACCCAGCACTGGAAAGGACTCTCTTTGTGGTTGTCTTCACTTCCTACCTCTTGACCCTGGTGGGCAACACACTCATCATCCTGCTGTCTGTACTGTACCCCAGGCTCCACTCTCCAATGTACTTTTTCCTCTCTGACCTCTCCTTCTTGGACCTCTGCTTTACCACAAGTTGTGTCCCCCAGATGCTGGTCAACCTCTGGGGCCCAAAGAAGACCATCAGCTTCCTGGGATGCTCTGTCCAGCTCTTCATCTTCCTGTCCCTGGGGACCACTGAGTGCATCCTCCTGACAGTGATGGCCTTTGACCGATACGTGGCTGTCTGCCAGCCCCTCCACTATGCCACCATCATCCACCCCCGCCTGTGCTGGCAGCTGGCATCTGTGGCCTGGGTTATGAGTCTGGTTCAATCGATAGTCCAGACACCATCCACCCTCCACTTGCCCTTCTGTCCCCACCAGCAGATAGATGACTTTTTATGTGAGGTCCCATCTCTGATTCGACTCTCCTGTGGAGATACCTCCTACAATGAAATCCAGTTGGCTGTGTCCAGTGTCATCTTCGTGGTTGTGCCTCTCAGCCTCATCCTTGCCTCTTATGGAGCCACTGCCCAGGCAGTGCTGAGGATTAACTCTGCCACAGCATGGAGAAAGGCCTTTGGGACCTGCTCCTCCCATCTCACTGTGGTCACCCTCTTCTACAGCTCAGTCATTGCTGTCTACCTCCAGCCCAAAAATCCGTATGCCCAAGGGAGGGGCAAGTTCTTTGGTCTCTTCTATGCAGTGGGCACTCCTTCACTTAACCCTCTCGTATACACCCTGAGGAACAAGGAGATAAAGCGAGCACTCAGGAGGTTACTAGGGAAGGAAAGAGACTCCAGGGAAAGCTGGAGAGCTGCTTAATATACTTTCGAAAGTAAGAAGAGTTTCTTCAAGATTTATGAACATGTTAAGTTTTCCAGACTACTACCCTTCCCACATACACCTGAGCCACTGTGGTGGGTCACAGTGTGGCTATGTTATCTATGAGAGGGAGAATGAGAAAGAGAGGGACAGAGAGATAAAAGAAATTGGGTGAGAGGAGATAGGTAGCTCCATAAGGCACACAAATTCAAATATTATCATTCCTATCACTGTCCATTCTTAATATTTCTATCCTCCATTCTGTTCTTTTTACTGTCATCACTTCTATAGATTTCCTAACTCCACCATGCCTATTTCTGGTTATATAATTGCTCTCCAATTGTCATGTCAGTGTAGGGGAACTACTCCATCATAGCATTCTGGACACCTTGCATGTATCTACGTAGGTCATGTAAGCAAAGGCTTGAAGAACAGCTAATCTGAGATTTAGAAGAATGCTTTTTGATCCTCCTGGAATATGAGAGGATGGGAGGCCCTTTAGAACCTGCCTCAATGCCATCTCTCACTCTCCTTCTTATATCCCTGGGAGTATGTCATGTGACAAGTCTTTACTGTCTCCCAGGTTTTGGATGGAGCATGGGGTTTTCTGCCCCACACCCTTTAGGATATAGCTGAAGAATATAATGAGGAATAGCTGGATTCTAGAACTGACTCCTCACCAGTGGTATATTCCACAACAGTGTCACAGTCGTCTGGCCCCTTTGGTTTCCGTGTCATCCTTTTTGGTGTGTAGGACAAGGAGCCAGGGAATTGGCACGTTTGGCTTTTACTTCTTTTTTATATGTAAATAATAAGCCATCTAAGTGTAAAAGTGGCTCATATCTTCTCCAGCCAAATCAGCTAGGCCATGGCCTTGCCTTGCTTCTCATGAGTGTGCTTGACAGTCATCACCGTCACTCTATCTTCATTTCTGGTTCTTACCGTGTTAGCTTAGTTCATTCAAGCTACTATCACAAGCTACACATAAATTGGGTGGTTTATAAATAACAAACATTTCTTTCTTACAGTTCTGGAGGCTGGAAACTCCAAGATTAAGGCAGATTTCATGCCTATTGAGGGCCTGCTTTCTGATTATAGAAGGTGACTTCTTGCTGTGCCCACACATGGTGAAAGGGACTACCAACTCTCTGGAGTCTCTTTTATGAGGGCACTAATTCCAATTATGAAGCCTCTTCCCTCGTGACCTAATCACTGCCCAAAGGCCCCATGTTCTAATGCCATCATCTTGGTGGTTTAGGATTTCAACATATGAATTTTGGAAGGACATAAGCATTCAACCCCCTGCACATGTCTTCTTTCCTACTTCCTCAAGGTTCTTTCTGTCCAGTTGCTCCTTCTTCTATTGACCCTTTTTTGCCTTCTCTTTCTCCTTCACTGCCTCAAGTTACAGCCAGAGGAAAGGAGGAACTAAAACTTAGCAAATCTATAATCACATGCAAATACACAGAATGGATTGTTACAACCAAAATGCAGGCTCTATTGTTTTCAATTTAGCAGCCTTTCAAATGTATATGGTTCTGGCCACATTAAAGTTGCAAATAACACTTTTTTTGAGACTGAAATAAAGGTGAAATATTGGAAGGAAAAGTTTAATGTTTTATTTGTAGTATTTTTTTCCATTTTCCACTAAAGAGTCCAGAAAAAAAAAGCAAACATAATATAACCTTTGAGTTATAACAGAATATTTCAACAAGAACTTTGTTGCTATCAAGTAACCATATAGTATAGGTTACACAGAACTCCTATCTTCTGGATTAAGACTCCGTCTTCAAAGTATTTGGGCACCCTGGTTACTGAACATGAGCCAGAAGAAAATGAACTGCTTTTCCTTAAGCATCTCTCTACCCCTGGGTCACCTCCAGTGGAGTGGTGTGTCAAGAAATGTAATTTGTCCTTTCTGATGCCATAATCTACCATATTTTTTTAAATTAAGTCATGCCAGGAGGAGATTTCTCTGCTCCTCATCACATGTTTCCACCAGAAACATGGGCAGCTCCGCATCTTGGGCTTCACCACCTTTAAGGTGAGGTGGATGGTCTTCTTCTTGGAAATTTCATAAGACGATAGCATTTTCTTGGGCTTTGGGGTCTTAAAGCCCAGCAGAAAAACCAAGTCCTGCATGGGAACCTTGGTCTTAGACCAGAGCTGTTCACCTACCTTCTTCACTCCATTTTAGCAGCCAATGTCATTAATTCCCATTCCTCACAATTGACACTCATTTAGGCAATTCTATATAAAGTTAAAATATTCTTCAGAAACGAAGATGAAGTAAAGATATTCTCAGTGAAAGTAGGTATCACCAACTCATCTGATTTAAAAGAAATGCTTTTAAGCATGGATTGCACTGCTTCAGGCAGAGAGGAAATAAAACCAGAGGGAAAATCAGAATATCATGAATGAAAAAGGAACAACAGAAAGAGTAATTATCTGGGTAAATGCAATCGTATATTATTCTCTTTTTGAATTATTTAAAATATGTATCTCTGTTGGAACTAAAAAGTACAACACTGATGGGGATTCATACAAATGTAATACATATGACAATTACTGAATAAACTAATAATAATAAATGGATCTATTCATTCTAAGTAGACCATGAAAGGGTAAATATTTATATCATAATCCCTAAAGCAACAATTCCAATAAAACAAAAAACCATACTGTTGTTATAGGCGTTTGAACCAGAGTGACTCCATCTTGAGTAGTGGCTGGGTAAAGTAAGGCTGAAACCTGCTGGGCTGCATTCCCAAAAGGTTAGGCATTCTCAGTCAGAGGATGAGATAGGAGGTTGGCATAAGATATAGGTCACAAAGATCCTGCTGATAAAACAGGATGCTGTAAGGAAGCCGGCCAAAACCAAGATGGCAATGAAAGTGACCTCTGGTCCTCCTCACTGTTCATTATACTCTAATTATAATGCATTAGCATGCTGAATGACACTCCCATCAATGCCGTGACAGTTTACAAATGCCATGGTAATGTCCAGAAGTAACCCTATGTAATCTAAAGAGGGGACGAACTTTCAGTTCTGAGAATTGCCCACCGTCTTCCCAGAAAACTTATGAATAATCCACTCCGTGTTTAGTATATAATCAAGAAATAACTGTAAGTATACTCAGTTGAGCAGCCCATGCCACTGCTCTGTCTATGGAGTAGTCATACTTTATTCCTTTACTTTCCTAATAAACTTGCTTTCATTTTATGGACTCGCCCCAAATTCTTTCTTACATGAGATCCAAGAATCCTCTCTTGGGGTCTGGATTGGGGCCCCTTTCCAGTAACACAGTGACATCAACAAAAATAACAGAGTAATGACTTCCAAAAATGACCTACTTCCTAAGAGTAAAATGAACTATGGAAGAATTGTCAGAATTAATATTGTTTAGAACTCTAGAAATTAACCAAAGGCTTGCTGCAATCTGGGGAGTGTTTGTTCAAGAATAATAGCTGAATCTTGATAAGAACAGTGAGCTCTGTGATGTTTTAACTGGTTCCACTCCTGTTCCTTCCTCCTCAGCTCTTAAAAACCAACGGTCCACAATCATGGTGAAAACCAGCAGACATGAAATCACTGGAGGGGACACAATAGGGTTACAGATCCTTTAATCCCTTATTTCCAGAGGACTGTTATTATTTTACCTGTCTGGTTGTTCCCTAGAACTCACAATGCTATCCTTATTTGACTTGACTCAGAGCTATCCCAGAGAGAACAATGTATTTCCTGGGGAAATGAGTAAAAAGAATCATAGGCAGTTGTTGAACATCATGGTTGCCGATGGTCATAAATAACAGTTGGAACAAACAATAGCCTAACCAAGAACTTAAAAACGAAATGTCAGGGAATGAGATGCCCATAAAGGGGATTGAAAAGCCTTAATATACTCCAGAAAGTTCCAACGGCCACATGCATGCATAGATGTGGGCATGACAAGTGCTGCATATATGCTTTGAACAGACCTGAGCAGGCTCTAAGCTCTAACCCTGAATAAGTTTGAGGCACTGCACAGACAGGAAATGAAGGCTAGGACACAGTGTAAACTGCTTGGTTGGGCTTTGAAGACCTGTATCTACCTGCACACAGAGCCTCTCTACATACACTGGGAGACATTACTTCCAGGAACCTAAGGAAATCTTTGTCCAGTCTTTACCTGGCCACTAAGCTAACCAAGCAGAGACTTCAGTGGCCACGTTGAACAACAACAACAACAAAAACAAAACAAAACAAAAAAACAAAAAAGAACAGACTTGACAGATAGTTTTTAAAAACCTGATCAAAAAACATCCACTAGCAATAGTAAAATCTGGGAACAGAAAAAATATGACTTCCAGAGTTGCCACATTATACTGTTTAAAATGCTAAGTTAAAAAAGAAAGAACGAAATAATACAACATGCAAAGAAACAATAAAGTAAGGCCCATACACAGAAAAACAAGCAGTTAGTAGAAACTGTCTCTGGGACCAGGCTCTGAAGGAGGTGTCTGCCTCAGTGCATCCAAAACAGCCAGGTAACCTTTGCTTTGGGACTGAAGTAATGGCTCTGATTCTGAGATGAGAGCTCACACTAGCCCTTAATTTAATCTTTACTTGAGGTGAAATTCAATGGATTATTAGAATGGGCCCTAATCCAGTAGGACTAGTGTCCTTATAAGAAGACGAGATTAGGATACAAACACCACAAGGGACAACGATGTGAGGACACAGGGAGAAGATATCCATCTAGGAGCCAGGGAAAGAGTCCTCAGAAGAAACCTATCCTGCCCACTCCTTGATCTCAGACTTCCTGCCTCCTAGAACCGAGAGAGAATAAACTTCTGTAGTTTAAGCTACTCGGTTTGTGGTCTCAGTCACGGGAGTCCAAGCTGATGATCACAGTTGTGATGAGAACTTTACAAATTGAATCATGGGAAGTCTTGCAATAGTGAGATCTACGACCTGGTAGATCCTATAATCCTATAATCTGAGATGCTGATTCTACAACTCTGAGCTGCTAACGCTTTGCTTCTGGGTCACAGAAGCTTCTGGAAATAAACTTGTCCCACAAACTGATAAATGCCTGTGATTTTTCTAGAAATATGCCACAGGCAACCCTGGCATCTGCAGTCACATGTCAGTATATCAGTGGGGTTTCAGGAGAAGTTTAGGGATCAGCTCCAAGTGAACCTAGTGTTTCAATCTTCCCTCCTTGCTGGGATGATGGAGTCCCCTTCAGTCAAGGCTCTGTTGAAATGAAAGGGTCTGTTCCCAGTTCCACTCTTCCCACCCAGGGTTCTGGACTGTTAATGGTTGTCCTTTTTTTGTTTTCTTCCCGTTGATTCTTTTACCATCTTCCTCCTCTTACTGATTTTGCGTGAAGGGGGGTTTTGATGGAGGTAAGGTAGCTGATAAGAAATGAGGTAGTGAGAAAACTAGTGAGGGGTCTTCTGGCTGTCCCCAGACAGTCCTCGTGTGGTCCCCAGCCCAGCCTGCAGGTTCTGGGCTGGCTACCTCTTGGCCTCTGTGCTGTGTGTCTAGAGCTGGCCTCTAAGGGAAGGGCCCTGTGAGACCTGGCAGAACAGGGTAACTGGTCCAACAAACATCCCTCCTTTCCTCTGGCTCCACAGCTCAGGATTAGATCTAGATAGCATGTCCAGTAGGTGCCAGACTACCTCATTATATCCTGTGAGATGGGCCCAGAGGGCCTTGAGGTGGGTAAGCTTGAAGCTGGGCACCCAGAGCCTGAGACTGACAGTTCCTCCCTCCCTGTATCCTGCAGGAGGGGCCCTGTCCCAACAAGAGCCCCAGGGCCTGGCCTGAGGGTGTGGATGTGGGGAGAGGAGGGTCTGTGGGCCCAGGAGGGGGCATTTGTAGGGGACATTGAGTACTGCAGCTCAGAAGACATGAATGACAGGGTGGGAGGTGTCTTCCATGTCTGTCCATGGCACAGCACCCCTGTGATTCCCAAGGGCTGCCAGGGGCCCATTCATCTGAGCTCTTTATAGATCCTACATATGAGTCCTTCATCAGATGTGAGATTGAAACCACTTCCTCCAGCCTGGAACTTGCCTTTTCATTCTCCCCACAGGGTCTTTCAAAGTGCACACATCTTATATTTTGATGAAATCCAATTGATCAATTTTTTCTTTTATGCATCATACTTTTTGTATTCATCCAAGAAATATTTTCCTAACCATAAGTTACACTGATATTCTCTTTTCTTTTCTTACATACAGCTTACAGCTTTAGGTCTTACATTATGGTTTATGATAAATTCTGAATTAATTTTTATGTATGATGCCACGTATGGATTGAAGTTCTGTTCATATGTGCATATGTATATCCAATAATTCTAAGGACCGTTTGTTGCTAAGATTGTCCTTTCTCCACTGAATTTACTTTACACCTTCTTCAAAATCAATTGAAGATATATGTTAGGGTCTATTCTGGACCCTCTTCTGTTCTGTTGACCTATTTGTCCATCCTGTTACCAATATCACACCATCTGGATTTCTGAACCTTTATAATAAGCCTTGAAGTCGGGTATTATAAACTGTCTCACTTGCTTCTTCTTTTTTCAAAGTTTTTTTTTTTTTTTAACTATTCTAGGTCTACTGCATCGCCACACACAGAATCACTTTCTCATGAACATACATACATGTGCACCAGAAATATAAATATATGCACATCAAGACCAAGTGAAATTTATCCCAGGGATACTAGGCAGGTTTAACATGAAAAATGAGCCAATATAATTCACCACATTAACAGATTAAAAGGCAAAAACATTATTTCAGCAGATTCAGAAAAAGCATTAGACAAAATCCAATAGGCTCATAAAAAATTTCAGTCAACTAGGAATAGAAACGAAGTTTCTCAAAATGATAAAAGGCAGCTACCAAAAAAAAAATCCTATGGTTGATATTTAGTGGGTATTACCCTTAATAATGAAAGACTGGATGCTTTCACCCCAGATGAGGAACAAGCCAAGAATGTTGGCTCTCACCACTTATTTCAGCGTCTTAAGAAGATACCATCAGGGCAAAGGACTCCTTCCTTAAATAGACACAGATTTCCATGTGGAGTCATTATTCTCTTGCTGGATGTATGTCTTTTACCACTTCTCAGTCTGCATATCTCCTGGTGATGATTTGTTTCATCTTTTTTGTGTCTCCAAAAACCTCTTTATTTTGCCATCTCTTTGGGAAATATTTTGACTGTGTAAAAAATTTTAGGCTGACAAATTTATTTCTTTTAATATTTTAAAGAATTTTCTCCACTGTCATACAACTTGCAACTTTCCAACAAGAAATCTGCTTCATTCTTATCTTTGATTTTCTGTACATATATGTCTTGTTCTTCTCTGGCTGTTTGTAGGAGGACTCAGTTTCCTGGGCATAGATATGCACGGGAAAGATGCAGTAACTACATCAAGTGTGGTGTTGTCCAAGGGTGGATAAATAGGCCAACAGAACAGAGCAGAAGGCCCAGAGACAGACCCACATAAGTCTAAACATGATTGATAACCAAAAATCAGAACAATAGTGAAGGACTATATTTGTTATAAATGTGCTGGGACCATTGGATAACAATCAGCTAAGTGGGCCAAGCAGCCTTTTGGCTTAGGCTGAAGCAGGATAATAATGTTACCTATTAATAGAGTGTGAAAACTGGCTTCATGTTTTCACAGTGATTAGAGCAATATTGAGATACAGTAAATCATCAGTGAACATATTTGCTCTAGTTGCTATTGCTACTATTCATCTTCCTGTCCCGTGCAGCGTCTTATGGTTACCATGATTCAAGTGCCTCCTGGTGAGGCCGAAACTCCACAAGACACTCTGGTCAGTCCTGGGGTACAGTTTCTTCCAGGTGGCAGAGGCTCAGTCCTGGTCACCCGCTGATCCCTTCTCAGGATGTGCCACACAGTTCTGCCCTACTGCGGGGTGAATGCTGGGATGCCTCTCTCTTTAAAAATTCCAAACAAGGGAACTGGTGTGAGAGGGTGGGTGCCTCCACTCCCTCAGCCCTTATTTCCAGGTGGGGATCACCCCAGAGGAGTAATTCTTGAGATGTGGTCCCCAACACCTTTTTAGGGGAAGGGAGGCCAACATAATCTTCAGGTAATACTTGAAGTATTGAAGTGAGTCTGTGTTTCTCACACTCATGCACTCCTGAGTGAAAGTGGAGTTTTCCAGAGACTGTATGAGGTGAGATGAAGCCGCCAACTGGAAAACTACACCAATGCAGAAGCAGCTGTGAATGTCCAGCTTGCTGCTGGGCCTCTAAGAGGTCTGCAAAATACAAAACCATCTTGCTCTTCTCAATAACATAACTTTTTAAAGAAAACATAGTTATTTTTTCTAAAATTTATTCATGTTTACATGGAATAGGCATACAATTTATGTTCTAAAGGAGTTAATAAGTAAACATTTGTAAAGTTCTGAGTTATAATTACTAATACTGTAAATATTGAAAGATACAACCCTGATCCACAAAAGTTCTTTGAGCTGCTCAATACTATTTAAGACTGAGAATCTCAGGTCTATTTTAAGCTCTGGGCTCTCTCTCTTTCCCCGCACTTTTTCCCTCCCGGGGAGAAGGAAAGAAACTGATGAGTGAGTTTGGAAGAATAACCTGGAGTGAGTGCTCCCTTCACCAGTGGGTGGTGAGTTCCCCAGAAGGACTGCTTTCCTCCAAAGAGAGATGGGCAGGAAGAGGGAGGAGGGATGGGATCCTCTGGAGTAGGTACCATTTAAGGGGCACTTTTGAAAGTCAGTTTTTTAGACATCCAAGCCCCTTTCTCCAGTTCAATTTTAGGAGCAATAGAAGTAATGCATTGTTCTCCATCTGACACTGTCCTCATTCCTTCATTCACTTTCATCAGTAGTTCTCAATTCCAGAGGGAAGGAAGGGGATTACTTACTAAACTGTAATAGTCCATACCTAGCCTTGACATTTTTGTTTTTCTGAGTGAGTGAGAGAATTCAGGAAACTGAGGACTGTCTGTGTTGCCAGGAGCTCATCAGCTGCAAGGATAATAGAGACGTTTCCACAAAAAACTAAAGAACCATAAGCCAGATGCTCACCTCCAAGGGAACTGTTGGCCCAGGGTAAAGGCACATAAAATGCCCAAATTGTATCCCCTGCCTGAACATAGCAGCAGCCCAACTCTGTGAGATCAACCTGCCTCTTACTTCCAGGCATCCAAACTTCACGGGCTAAAGTCCTAACCCTGAATGTGACAATATTTTGAGATAGGGCCTTTAAAGAGATAATTAAGGTTAAGGAGCTCATAAGACTGAGGTCCTAATCCTAAAGAATTAAAATCCTCATAAGAATAGAAAGTGTCCCCAGGGATGTGGGTACACAGAAAAAGGCCATGTCATGACACAGGGAGAAGGCGGCCATCTCAAGTCAAAGAGGGAGGCCTCAGGGGAAGCCCACCCTGCTGATACATTGATCTTGAACTTCCAAGCTCCAGGACTCTGAGAAAATAAATATCTGCTGTTTGTAGCCTAATCTATGGCATTTTGTTAGAACAAAACACGCTGACTAAAGACAGGCAGCCCGGATCAGCCCTTCTGTGCTCTAGGGCCAGGGTTTCTGCCATTCACTTATCAAAGGACAACATCAAATTATGTAAATCAAACTCTGTTTCAAATTCTAGTGTGATGTGAAACAAACTAATAGGAGATATGAACATGTCCCTATCAATTTTGTCATTTACACTAGGCAGAAATCAATATGATCCAAGTAACAGCATTTAAAGAATTGCTGTAATCTAAACATCTCAGAATTGCTTTAGAATGTATCACATTGAATATCTAAAATAAGAGAATGTACATTGCTTACCAGTATCACTGGCACATTTACAAACCTGAGCAAGTTTTCGGCAACAGAGAAAACAGTGTGAATTTCACATAACAGTCATAGTATTATACAAGTGACATTTTCCAAGTGAGTAAAAAACTGACAAATCAATTACAAGAACACTGGGAACAATCTCCAAAGACGTGTTCGTCGAATTCTAGTTAGAATATGGTTGGGAAGCCTCAAGAAGGCAGAGACAATGAAAACATGTGGAAACATGCAAGGTGGAAAGGTGGACTAGTGAGCGATGGATAACATCAGATGATGGGGGGTTAATGTCAGACTTGCAGGGCATTTTGCTACTTGCTGGGAATTTGCTAGGGTAGGAGGAAGGTGTGGCCTCTGCCCTACTGGGGCTTCAAGTGCAAATGAGGCAGGAGTACAATAAACTGATAACAACACACAACACAGAATACATAGAAAATAATTATAGACAATTATCTTCACATTAAAAGAAACAAACCTTTTAGAGAAGAGTCAAAAAGGGGTGGAGATTTAAATGGGGTGGTCTGGACAAACATCTTTAAGGAGTGAAGGGTGAAAAAGAGTAAAATGTACAGATAGTGTTGAGGGAGTGCTCTAAGCAGGGAAGGGAGAAAGGGACCTTGCAAGGTTGGGCGCGAGTCTGGTGCAAACAAGGGAGAGAGTGAATCCTGTGTGAGGATGTCATGGGACAAGGTCAAATGGTGCACCTGAGGACAACTCAGGGGGTGGACACCATCCTGAAATCTAAGAGTTACGCTGGCTGGGGTGCAATTGAACAAATGAAGCAGGGTGATGTGCTGCTGTGATGGCTATAGAGCATTGACGGGATGGAGCTGGGGCTGGTCAGGGGCTCTCATTAAGGTTCTGACCATGGTGGGTGCCGGGCAACACCCTGGTCAGGGTGGGGAAGAATGCATGACATTCTGCAGGGTGGGATTCCTGTGAAGAAGCACAGGCGCTAGATTGTGTGATGAGTCTGGGAAAAACACAGAGAGTAGCCTGTGCGTGGAACCTGGAATGAGCAGAGTGAAACAGCTTGGAGAAACCAGGCTGTAGGCCAGACTGCCAGCGTTAGATCTCTCCACAGTGAGCAACGCCAGAAACAACTTGTTATGGCACTCTTACTGAATCGCTTTCCTGGCTTTTGTAGGAAGGGATGGATGGAAACTTGAGGCCATAATGGTGGAGGAACATCAGGATCATGAATCAGTCTCTGCCCAGGGGTCCCCAGGAAGGATGGACTGGGGTGACAGAGGACAGAACTCCGAGCAAGGTGACTGAATAAGGATGAATGACACTTGTCACTCTCAGAAATATGGAGCTTGCAGAAGCCAGGAAGGTTGAACTAGTTTACAGTCCCACCAACAGTGTAAAGATGTTCCTATTTCTCCACATCCTCTCCAGCACCTGTTGTTTCCTGACTTTTTAATGATCACCATTCTAACTGGTGTGAGATGGTATCTCATCGTGGTTTTGATTTGCATTTCTCTGATGGCCAGTGACTATAAACTAGTTCAACCATTGTAGAAGTCAGTGTGGCGATTCCTCAGGGATCTAGAACTAGAAATACCATTTGACCCAGCCATCCCATTACTGGGTATATACCGAAAGGATTGTAAATCATGCTGCTATAAAGACACATGCACACGTATGTTTATTATGACACTATTCACAATAGCAAAGACTTGAAACCAACCCAAATGTCCAACAATGATAGACTGGATTAAGAAAATGTGGCACATATACGCCATGGAATACTATGCAGCCATAAAAAATGATGAGTTCATGTCCTTTGTAGGGACATGGATGAAGCTGGAAACCATCATTCTCAGCAAACTAGTGCAAGGACAAAAAAACCAAACACCGCATGTTCTCACTCATAGGTGGGAATTGAACAATGAGAACACATGGACACAGGAAGGGGAACATCACACTCTGGGGCCTGTTGTGGGGTGGGGTGAAGGGGGAGGGATAGCACTAGGAGATATACCTAATGTTAAATGATGAGTTAATGGGTGCAGCACACCAACATGGCACATGTATACATATGTAACAAACATGCACGTTGTGCACATGTACCCTAAAACTTAAAGTATAATAAAAAAAGAAAAATAAAATAAAATAAAATAAAATAATTAGCTGGAAAAAAAAAAAAAAAGAAGAAGCCAGGAAGGTCTGCTTTGCTCCTGACCTGCCTTTCCAGAGGGTTTCCATGGGAATTGAGAATAATGGGCTATCAACAGAAGCAAAGTAATTTTGTCTTGAATTCAGTCAGAAATCTGGTTACTCTGAAAATACACAAAGGTAATAAATAATCTCAAGAACATTCACCCTGCTCCTTGGAGGATCCAGCATGTTTTCCAGACATGATCCCTTTTACAGCCTTGTGCATAGGCAGTCCCTGCCTTTGTGGAGGAGCTGAGCCCCCTAGAAGAGCAGTTTGTTTCCAGCTGTGAGGCTGAAATCTGCCCTGGGATCGGGGGCCTGAAACGCCTCATTTTATCCATGCCTCCATCTCACTCAACAAAGCCCTCTGAAAAACAGCCTTTAGGGACTCCCTGTGCCTCTTCCTGTAGAGTTACTCAGCCAAGAAGTAGATGACTAGGTGAGGCATGCTGACCACAATGGACAGTAGCAACAGGAGGTCAAAGGCAAGGGTCAGAAACTTTCCTGGCAGGCACACAAGGACAACTAAGGGCAGGACCCAAAGGAAGAAGCTGATGATCACAAAGCAGACAACATGATAGGTCCTGATGGGGGAACACCACTGGGGACAGCACAGACCCCAGATGATCAGGATCAGCTTGGACATGCCCATTACAAAGCAAATAAGTACATGACATGTCATAAAGCCTCATGAAATTGGTCACATGCCAAGCACTTCTCCCAGTACTCACAGACCTGGCTAACTGCATACAAAGAAAGGGCCAGGGCCCACCTCACCATGGCAGAGGTGTGCTCTGGGCGGTGGCAGCACCAGGTGGGACAGAGGGCACAGAGAAAGCTCTCAATACTCATGGCCACCAGGAGACAGAGACCCACTGTGTCGGAGAAATAGGAGACAGGATCCAGAAACACAGCCACCTGCAATGCCGCCTGGTGATACAGCATGAGGATTTTCTCCAGCAGGATCACAGTTACACAGGAGAGGTTGACCATATCAACAGTGGCCAGGTTAAGGATGTAGGTCACATAGGGGCTGCTCCAGACCTGTGAGTAGAGAAGCCAGCAGATCACATCATTGCCTACCAGTCCACAGAGGGCCACCAGCACTGTCAGGGAGAAGACCACCTGCCTGTCCACCAACCACTCACCTCCCGTATGGCTCATGTTCACATGTCCTGAGGTCTCAGTCTCATTGTCCCAATCCAGCTTTCCAGAGAGGGTTGCGAGAAGCTAGGCTATGGTGGGCTACCTTTGCTGCCTGCGCACATCCTGCAAAAACAAAGGCTGGTAACATACCAGGTCTGGAGAGGAGAGTCAGGGTTGCCCTCTGTCCTCAGAGGTTCCTGCTGAGCCTCATGAGATTGGCAGGGATTCTGCAGAGCAGAGTGGAGGAAAGGAGCAAGCTTCTTGTGGGAGACCCATCCCTTCCCTCCCAGATTCTCCATTGCAGGATGCCCTCTCATGCATACCCTTACCCCTCTCTCCACCGCATTCAGTTATCCCTGATGCTTCATGCTGTGCCCAAGGCCCAGTGTGTATCCCGTGCACCCAGATTATCTATAAGGCTGCATAAAAAAATACATTTGTTTACATTAGCCCATAAGGATGGTTCTCCAACTTTCCCACTGGTACAGGCTGTTTTTGTGACATCGTTTTGGTGGGGGCACTGAGTGACTACTTTACCTTGAGGTTCTGAGACTCCTTGAGTCCTGGATGGGGAGGTTGCTGGTCAGTACTCAAGGGAAGGGCTCCCAACCTTGCTCCTGCTCACCTCTTCTCTGTTAGCTCTCAGGCCTCCTCCCTGGACCTTTGCACATGCTGTTCTCCTGCTTGGAAGAGCCTCTGTGCCTCAGTGAGCTCGGTCTCCTCCTTCCAGTCTCTGCCTCAGGGTCACCTTCCAGGTGATCTTCTGCTGATCAGCCTTTAAACATTGCACTCTTGACCTGCTGGCAGTCTATGATATTCACTTACTTGCTTTTGTGGGAATCATGCCCTGGAATGGAAGTTCCATGAGAATTTACTTTGTCTTTAAAATTCTGTTCACTGCCTTTTCTCCAGCCCCTGGAACAGGGTTTGACACTGAGGAGCTACTTGGGGAGGGTGCCTGCAGAGGACTTAAGTTGCTCTGTTACATGTAGGTGAGAGCAGGGGACCCTGCACACCAGAAGCTGCTTCATGGGGTCCCGAGGGAGACATGCACTTGAGCCATGGGCTCTGTCCACTTCAGGAGCAGGCACTCCGCTTCAGGCTGCCAATCACAGGTCTTTGTGTGAAGAATTGTGCAGGGAGGGCAAAGGTACCACTTTGCCTTAGAATTTCCTAGTTTGTATTCCTGAAAATTCCTTGTCCTGAATATCCCGATAGCCCTGGGAAAACCAAGCTGGTTGGTCACCTAACTAAAAATGAAACGGGAGAGGATCAATACCTCTTCTGGGAACCCACAGCTGAGTCAAACCTAGTAACCTGGGAGTTCAGGCCAAGGGTATGAAAGCTGATCTTATGTGGGCAAATCACAGCTATCTTTGATAAGCAGTGGATCCTTTTCTGCCTCAGTATTCCCAGCTATCTAAGGGTTGCTGTTATTAGCTGAATTGTGACCTTCTAAATTCATATGTTAAGGTCCTAACCCCTAATACTTCAGAATGTGACTGTGTCTGCAGACAGAATCTTTGAAGAGGTAATTATGTTAAAATGGGTCTTTAGGTTGGGCCCTAATCCAATAGGACTGGTGTCCTCATGAGATGAGGAGATTAGGATTAGTTAAACACACAGGGACAACCATGTAAGCATGCAGGGAAAAGACAGCCATCTACAAGCCAAGGAGAGAGGTCTCAGAAAGAACCGACAGTGCCGACCCCTTAATCTCAGAATTCCAACCCCCAGGACTGTGACAGAATAGACTTCTATCATTTAAGTCACTCAGTCTGTGGTCTTAGTCATGGGAGTCCAAGCTGATGATCACAGTAGTGAAGAGAACTTTATACATGGAATCATGGGAAGTCTCAGAATGGTGAGACGAACCTGGTCCTACAACCCTGAGCTACTGAAGCTTTGTTTATGGATCACAGAGGCTTCTAAAACAAAGATTGTTCCACAAATTGATGAAAGCCTAAGATATGCCAGGAAATATCTCACACGTGACCCTGTGATCTGCAGTCACATATTGGTGCATCAGTGGGGTTTCAGGAGAGTGCTAGGGACCAGCTCCAAGTGAGCCCAGTGTTTGAATCTTCCCTCCTTGCCAGGATGATGGAGTTCCCCTTCAGTCAGCAGCTCTGTTGAAATGGAAGGGTCTGGCCCCAGTCTCGCCCCTCCCTGTGCCTGTTGCCTAGACTTTCTTATCTGAGGCCAGGAGAGGAAAGCAGATCCAGCTTATATCTAATCTGGTCATAAGACGAGGCTTGGGGCTTAGTAACATTGGTGTCCATGGAAACATCAGGCTGATGTGCGGTTCTGTGCCCAGGCCAGGGTGTCAGAACTCGTGATGGTGACAGAAGAGAAACTGCAAACAGGACTCCATGGCCCACCCCAGGCCACCAGGGCACCAAGCAGGAGCAGCTGGGCTTTGGTCTCCAACAAGGAGAGGAGATTTATAGATAAAATAGTTTCATGGGAAGAAGTGACTTCCCCTCCAGCCAGAAGAAAAGATCCGCTATGGAGGTGGCATGTGGCCTCAGGGGCAGAGTCATGCTTCCCATTCCTGAGCTCATTGAAACCCAGCTCATGCCCAGAGACGACCACTGAGCCCAGTGACTGAGCAGTACATTCTTCATTGTCACCTAGGAGGAGGAGGCAGCCCTCCTGGGGTGGAGAGGCCTCGGCATCTGGTGTGGCCCCAGCACTGGGCATAGAGACATCCTGGTACTTGGAAATGTCATTTGTGGTCTTGGGAATGTCATTTCCAAGTTGGGTCATGAGCCAGGCTCCCCAAGGAGTAGATACAACAGGCTGGATCCTGGGATTCAGGGAGCCAGCGCTGTTGGAAGTGCTCAGTTTGGTGCAGCCAAAATAGCCAAGTAGCCTTTGCATTGGGATTGAAGTATTTGCTCTGATTCTGAGGCGAGAGCCCACCCTCCCCACTTAATTTTTATCTGAGGTGAAATTCACATAACATAAATTAACCAATTTAGAGTGCACAGTTCTGCCTCACTTTGCCTCTTCACAATATTGCGCAACCCCCAACTCTATCTAGTTCCAAAACATTTTCATGCCCCATAAGGATGCCCTTAGCAGTTACATCCCTTTCTCCCTCCCAGCTCTTGGCAACCACCATCTGCTTTCTGTCTCTGCGCATTCACCCATTCTGGACACGTCCTATTAGTGGAATCAAACCTTCCGTGACATTTTGTTTCTGTTTCTTTCACTCAGCCTCATGTTTTCATGGCTTGTTCATGGTGCAGCATGTGCCAGAACTTCATTTTCTGTGTTAGATGAGAATTAAATACGAATATAGAAGCTGGGAAATTGGAAAATCTGAAAGGTTACACCCAGAAGTCATAGACCACACCTCAGTAACACAGTGGCTCAAATCCTACTTCTAACAGAAAAACACACCCTCTGCCCATCTACACAGCCAGGGCACCTGTGAACCAGGGACCAGAACACAGAAGTAGCTCACCCACTGGGGCTACCTTGGGAACCGCAGGCCCTCCTTTTTCCAGGAAACTGGTTTCTATCCTGTCAATCTTCAAATGCACCTTCCTCAGTAAAAAAAAAATCACAAGGTTTTAAATTTTTTTAAAAAATGAGTCTTTGAGTTAAAATGCTTTGAAAATGAAAAAAAAGGTAGAGACCTTTTTTCTCATACCTGGGAGGACTTGGACGGACTTGGTATCACAGAGGCCAACCTCCTGAGAGATCAAAGTTCTGCCCTCATGTCAGGAAGCTCTCTAAGCATATCTGCTTTGAACTGGGTCTTGACAAGCAGTTATCAAGTTCCCTGTGTCCCTTAGGTCTTCCTGTACCAGGGCCACTTGCATATCAGAGCCCAGGCCTTTAACTGAAGCATCTTTATCTCAACATCTCACGATATCCCCCAATCCTGTCTGACTCTATTACTCTGTCCTTAAGAACTGTCCCCTGAAACAAAGAAGAATCTTTAAGAGAAGTCAGTCTCTCCACTTTAATGCATCTCCCAGACTGAGGTCCAGCCCAGCCCAACCCATCCTAGAAGGCAGAAGAGGAAAGTCAGGTCAGCATTTTCCCAATGAACTCAGGAATTCCAGTAGCTCAAACGTGCTCCTTGGATTTTGTCATGAATTGAATTGCATGTTTTGTAAAGTAAAATTAATGTAAGAACTTTACTTTGCTGTCTTCTCAAAGATCAATTTGCTCTTTCTTGATTTTCTCTAGTGCATGTTTGTTTTTGTTGGAAAATTAGTCATGAATGATCCATAAACATAATGTAAAGAAGTCTTGGGAATGTTTTTGTGCTGTGCCACTTACCAAGCAGGTTCTGACACAACATATTGGCAAATTCTTACTGAAAGCCAGATCAAGCTCACACTCCATGTATCCTCATGCTATTCCCCTCCGTTCACCTACAGCTGTTTGTGAAGGAGCCAGCTGATCATTTCATATAGACTTTTGTTCACATGTGGCTCAACTTGAGAAAAATGAGATGGATGCAAGGCTCCTTTCGTTGGTTTCTCTAGCAATTCATGCATTTCTAGCTTGAAGTTGCTTCTTATCCCTGCAGGAAATAATCTTTTATTATATTCCCTCTTAAAACCTTGTGGTTAAATGTGATTCACATAGTGGGGCAGATGGTTTCTGTATGGTTCTACAGTGACCAGGAAGGAGAGATATATAAGAATGAAATACACTATGATCAAAGGGTGACAAGATGTTAAAATACACCCCTCCTTGTCCTTCGGTGCTGACTGGCTGTTTACCTCACTGCAGAGATAGAATCTGAGAAGACCTCAAGGTCACATAGGGAATGTGACTTTATGGGACAGTACTGATCCTCCCTACAAGGGAGCCATTAAGGGTCTAGAGCAGCTGTTACCTTTGGTCCTATCTCCTCTATATTTCATGTAGTTTTTATATTCAAGAGATTGTGGATCTTGAATTTTTTTATTATATGTACCCAAATTATTTTTTCATTATTATTATTTTTTAAATTATACTTTAAGTTCTGGGATACATGTGCAGAACTTGCAGGTTTGTTACATAGGTATACATGTACCATGGTGGTTTGCTGCACCCATCAACCCATCGTCTACATTAGGTATTTCTCCTAATGCTATCCCTCCCCTAGACCCCCACCCCCAACAGGCCCCAGTGTGTGATATTCCCTGCCCTGTGTCCATGTGTTCTCATTTTTCAATTCCCACCTATGAGTGAGAACATGCCGTGTTTGGTTTTCTGTCCTTGCGATAGTTTGCTGAGAATGATGGTTTCCAGCTTCATCCATGTCCCTGCAAAGGACATGAACTCGTCCTTTTTATGGCTGCATAGTATTTCATGGTGTATATGTGCCACATTTTCTTAATCCAGTCTATCATTGATGGACATTTGGGTTGGTTCCAAGTCTTTGCTATTGTGAATAGTGCCGCAATAAACATACGTGTGCATGTGTCTTCATAGTAGCATGATTTATAATCCTTCGGGTATATACCCAGTAATGGGATCACTGGGTCAAATGGTATTTCTAGTTCTAGATCCTTAAGGAATCACCACAGTCTTCCACAATGGTTGAACTAATTTACACTCCCACCAACAGTGTAAAAGCCTTCCTGTTTCTCCACATCCTCTTCAGCATCTGTTGTTTCCTGACTTTTTAATGACTACCATTTTAACTGGCATGAGATGGTATCTCATTGTGGTTTTGATTTGCATTTCTCTAATGACCAGTGATGATAAGCCCTTTTCATATGTTTGTTTGCCATATAAATGTCTTCTTTTAAGAAGTGTCTGTTCATATCCTTCACCCACTTTTTGATGGGGTTGTTTGTTTTTTTCTTGTAAATTTGTTTAAGTTCTTTGTAGATTCTGGATATTAGCCCATTGTTAGATGGATAAATTGCAAAAATTTTCTCCCATTCTGTAGGTTGCCTGTTCACTCTGATGATAGTTTCTTTTGCTGTGCAGAAGCTCTTTAGTTTAATTTAATTAATTTGTCAATTTTGTCAAATTTTGTCAATTTTAATTAGTGTAATTTGTCAACTGAACTAAAATTTGTCAATTTTAATTAGTTTAATTTGTCAATTTTGGCTTTTGTTTCCATTGCTTTTTGTGTTTTAGTGATGAAATCTTTGCCCATGCCTATGTTCTGAATGATATTGCCTAGTTCTAGGGTTTTTATGGTTTTAGGTCTTATGTTTAAATCTTTAATCCATCTTGAGTTAATTTTTGTATAAGCTGTATAAAAGGGGTCCAGTTTCTGTTTTCTGCATATGGCTAACCATTTTCGCCAACACTATTTATTAAATAGGGAATCCTTTCCCCATTGCTTTTTTCTGTCAGGTTTTTCAAAGATCAGATGCTTGTAGATGTGTGGTGCTATTTCTGAGGTCTCTGTTCTGTTTCATTGGTCTATATATCTGTTTTGGTACCAGTACCATGCTGTTTTGGTTACTGTAGCCTTGTAGTATATTTTGAAGTCAGGTATCGTGATGCCTCCAGCTTTGTTCCTTTTGCTTAGAATTGTCTTGGCTACACAGGCTCTTTCTTGGCTCCATATGAAATTTAAAGTAGTTTTTGCTAATTCTGTGAAGAGAGTCAATGGTAGCTTGATGGGGATAGCATTAAATCTATCAATTACTTTGGGCAGTATGGCTTTTTTCACGATATTGATTCTTCCTATCCACAAGCATGGAATGTTTTCCCATTTGTTTGTGTCCTCTTTTGTTTCCTTGAGAAGCAGTTTGTTGTTCTCCTTGAAGAGGTCCTTCACATCCCTTGTATGTTTTTTTTTAAGAAACAGAATCTCACTTTGTTGCCCAGACTGGCATGGAGTGAAATGATCTCGACTCACTGTCTCAAATTCTTGGTTTCAAGAGCATCCTCTGTTCCCACTCTCTCATGATACCTAATACTGGTGATTATCAGGCTCAAGTCCTGCCTATAGTCATGTATCTGAAACACAATTGGGATTCTATCCAGGGACTCTTGTCCACAGGACACCCCTAATAAGATTGGCCTCCCCCATATAGTGTATCTCTTATGCTTTTCTACCTTTGAGAACCAGCACTATTTGCTTCTATCACAGTAAAAGCCACACTCAGATAATTTTATAAACATAAATCTAGGCCCTGGTTTAACAACAATGGGCATCAATGTATGAGGCAAGCTTATCTAGTACTAGGATTCCAGTTTGCTGTGTAGCATTCCCATAGAAGGCTGTCTTTGCCTTTTCATTCAAGGATAAGAAAATATTTCCAGTTAGAAATGTTTTTGGCTGCCAAATAGAGAAGCTCAATTAAACTAATTTTAGCAGTCAGTGATGTATAATATTGAAGCACAAGACACCTGTAGATAGGGCTGCTGCAAGATGTTCAAGTCAGTGGCACAATGTCTTGAAAAAATTAGAATTATCCACTTTTACTTCTGGCATCTTCAGAATATTGTCCTCATTCCTCACTGGGCATGTTTTCCGAATGCTTAGGATATGACTTCATACTCAGAATATGATATAAAAAATGCGAGAAAAAAGAACTTCCTTTCCTTCCATCTCTTTTTATATCTGTGAAAACTCTTCTTAGAGTCATACCACATAGAATGTCCTGCGATATCTCATTGGAATGCCCTCACCATAACCAACACTTAGGCCTTTTTCACCTACCCCCAAATTATATACACCTCCCTCCCTTGTCCAAGTTAAAATTAAAATATTTGCATCTATTTGAAATGCATTCATTATTTTGTCAAGAACTGTATGTACCTAGTATCATCTTGTTACTGCCTCTAGCTCCATTCTGGCACCCACGTGACAGGCATTTAATTCCATTCATTCAGTGAGTGTCCTTTCCAGCTAGACATTCTTGGGTAAAAGAACAGACAGAATCACACTTGTTGTCAGGAAAGTAAGTTCCATCACTCTCAAGCTCACAGTTCTCTGTTCTTCTCATTGGAAGGATTCACCTAATCTATTTAGTGAATTGTCCATAGACACTGGAACTTCCCTCTGGGAGATTTTCCTTATTTGGTTTATTCCGTGGCCACACCTGGGTGTTTGAGGTGAAACACCTTTCTAATGTTTGTTCATATTTCACAATCCCATTTCTTTTGGCAAAAGGTCAGGGTTCAGGTTTGGACCTTTGGGTCTGAACATATGATGTTATTGGCCATGTTATTTTCACTTATTAGTTTGATTTTATTTGTTTTATTTTTTCCTTTTATTTTAAGAGGTGGGGAGTAGTAATTTCATTAAAAACTTTTGTCTTACAAATTCCCTGGAAACAATCTCATGAAAATATTTATCAATGTAATTTGTGTGTGTGTGTGTGCGTGTGAGAAGATTCCTGTTCCTAGCTATGGGCACCAGTTCCTGCTAAGTCCTACTTCATGGCTTTGCCTTGGAGAAGTACATAACAGCTACAGGTGTGAAAGTGCCCAGTCACCCAATCCCTCCCAGATGCATCTCTGCAGTAGGGACAGTGGGATTTTCTGCCTTGGGAGCAGGTAAAACCAGTATTGTTGCAATAAACACCCTGTCACGGATATCACTTGGTAACACTATTTTGTCTCTGTAAAATGGAGCAATAAAACTTTAAACGTTGATTATAAGTGTATGTGTGTTTATAATTTTAAGGTACAGTACTCAATTTTTCCCCAACAAAAGCAATAACTTAAACTCACCACTTTGGTTGCAGAAGACATTAAATCCTCCATATTCTTCTGTGTGTCCAGCCATTAAAGCTTATTAATAACAGGGGTAGAAAATCATATCTCATTATGCAGTGCTCCTGATGACTAACAAAGTTGAATAATTTAACCGTTTAACAAAAAAGATTAAAGTGGGCTTATACTTCACACTATCCTCCAGTAAAAAAAAATCAAATTGATCAAATATTTACATGTTTACAAATGAAATAATTTAATAGTATAAGACAGCATAGATTCATTTTATATTATCTCATGTAGGTAAGACTTCTTTAATCATAACTCAATACATAAGCCATAAAAGACTGACAAATTCAAATTTATAAAAACGGTGTGCTTGACAATAACATGTTTTTAAAATCATAACCGAAGTAAGTGACCAATGAAAATGTTGGAAATTGTATCTGCAGCTCAGACAACTGAAAAAGGACTAATCTGCTTATAGATGGAGAGCTAACAGAAGTGGAGAGACAAAGACCTGTCCACGAGAAGTCTCATGCCCCTTCCTTCACTCTGACACCTCCTTAACATGCTCCTGAAATGTCAGCATCATGAGACATGAGCTACACAATGATGCAGTATGGGAATTAAGAGGTAACCATATATTTTAATATCAGACTTGAATGAATCTTCTTTGTTTTGAGTAACATGTACACATAATTGAATAAGCACATATAGAAATCATTAAAAAAAGTTATTTGACAAATTACACCTTAAAAGGAGACTATACATTATTTTAAACACCATGGTGGACAAAACTGACCATGTCTTCAGCCACAGAGTAAATCTGAAAGAAATACAAATAATAATATTAATAATAACATTTTGTTGGTTATATTATTTGACCACAATAAAATAATATATACAATAACTAGAATTTAAAGCATATATATATATAAAGCAATATTATAGAATGGCAATTCTAGTCCTTGAAGGATTGTCTAAAATCACAGATATAAAATTAATAAGGCTTAAATAAAGGGTATGTACTTAAAGGGAATGCAATTTTTATTCAAATTACAAAGAGGTATTATTAAAACAACTTATTATGTACAAAGCACTGGGACATTAAACTGAATCATGAAGTAATGACTTCAACCTCACAAAACTTCTCGTCTTCTAGGGGAAGCTTAAAATAAGACCAAAATGGTGGAACCATTACAAATTACAATAATGTTGTAAGAAATAAAAGATCAATAAGACCAGCCAGAGAATGTGATCATAGAAATGCTCTTAAAGTTGACCTTTTTAACTAGAGATAAAACATGGAAAAGGCAAAAACAAGGAAAATTGTGAGTGACATAATTCCTCACAGAGGAAAGAAAATTTGCAAAAAGGATGTGTTCCATTTAACAAAAGAAACCCAATATGAGAGTTTTGTAAGCAATGTAAGCAAGATGAAGAATTAAATGGTATTAAGTTGGAGAGAGGATGAGGTAAATTTGCTTTCTTCAAAGTAAAAGGTTTGGGTGTAAATTCTAACCTAGTGAGGAGGGATTATATTATCCAACGTAATGTTTTTGTACATTTATTCAACACACTGCAACATATTCATCATCCTTACTAAATAATTGTTACACATGTTGTAAATAAAATCCAAGGAGTCCTGTATATTCATAAGGTTAATTAATCCTCACACCAACCATGCATATTAAATACCAACTTTATCCTCCTCTTGCATAAGATGAAACAGAGTTACAGAGAGTTATTTGCCCACAATAACATGCTTTGAATGGGAGAGCCAAAGTTTGGACAAAGGCAATCTGGGTCCAAAACCCTGACTCTTACTCTTATGTGATGATGCCTCTTGGTAATTCCGACAAGCTCAAGCTCTATCTAAGGAGGAGATAGACAAAGGGAGGAAAATCTGTGGCTGGATTTGGAGGATGTTCCAGGATAATGATTGAGAATAATGCATGGCCTTTTGTATGGTCTTTATTTGGGATTCCACAGGTACCAGGAAAGTCTCACTGGGTCCCATTCCCCTCATCGTTGGAACTGGAGCACATTCAAACTGGGCTTACTGCCTAGGAAGGAAGTTAATGTCTCTTCCAACCACAAACAGCAAGGGGTTGTTTTGAAAGTCCATGAAAGCTGAACTTGATTAGAATAAAGCATTGATTTGATGCAGCAGCCTTATGATGCAGAACAGGCTGGGTTACTATGTGTACAATTCCCCAGCTCAGATGTGGGAAATTATGTTTCCACATCGACCCTGTGCTCCCTGGGAAGAAGGTTCTCCACATGCTGAGTAGAGTGTGGTTGCTCCATTGGGTCGATGCCAGCTGCCTTTTTGTTCCTCCCCACCTCTGGCTTATCTGCTAACGCCCGTTGGAGAATCACTCTGAGAGATTCCTTCAGCCTTTTCTTTCTGAGGCTCCCCACAAAGAAATAAATGATAGGGTTGGCGCTGCTGTTTATAATGAGGAACAAGGAAATTAAATAGGAGGTGGTGACAAACATTTTGAAATCTGTTATGAGGGGTGCCACGCTCAGGGGTAGGGCCCAGAGTAGGAACATGGGGGCCGAGATCTGCACCACCGCATAGACCCTGGTGGCCTTTTGCTGCTGGGAGCAGCACAGGAATCTAATGAGTAGAGTCAGACTCGACACACACATCACAAGTGAAAGGATAGCATGGAAGAGCCCAGAAAGCTTTAGAAATATGACACATGCCTTTACATGTTTCCAGTAAGTTAGGAAAAGTGATTTTACTATGTTGATGCAAAAAGGCAGGCCCCAGATGAGGGTGCAGACAACATTAGATGTGTATTTTGGGCGGTGGCATCTGTACCAGATGGGGAAGAGGACACACACACACCGCTCTGTGCTGATGGCCACCAGGAGACAGAGACACACCTCAAAGGAGAAGGGAGACAATATGGCCAGGAAATCAGGGATAAAAAACACGACTCCATGATAAGTTAGCAGAGTCACCTGTAAGAACCCCACTGCCGAGCAGCAAAGATAGATCACGTCAGCAGCGACCAGGTGGAGGATGTATACCATGTAGGGATTCGTGGCCCCACAGCAAAGCAGCCAGAAGACAGTGCCATTCAATAAGACCCCACAGAGGGAGACCAGCACAGCCTTGGGGGCAATGATATTCAAGGGCAGGGCCTGCTGTCCCACTGCCATGCTCATCTGCATATGTATGGTTTCATTCGTCTCATTTTGAAGAAAGACGCCACAGAGCTGAGATACCAGGTTTGGGTTCTGTGCCTCCTGGTCACCACTGTGGAGACAAAGGCTACATGAGAGAGATATCTGTGACTCAGCAAACACTGTCCATCCAGCCCTCTGGCTGAACCAGCAAATTTTCCCCCAGACCATGGGGTGCTGGGACCTGAGTGGGCCACAACATCACAGTCAGGAGCAGTGGTCCATCTAGTGGTGTCCTCTGGCCTCAGACCCCTTGCCTCTACATTTTCCTAGGCTGGAATAGAACACCCATTGTTGGGTGTGCTTTTTAGGAACAGCTGAACATTAACTACATATCAGAGTGGATGGGAGTATCTGCTCTGCAAATAGCTCTCCATGAATTTGTGATCTGTTCTCCCTCCCCTAACACATCTCCTGTTGTACAGGATGCCCCAGGCCTACCCACATAGACCCAATATCTTGTTGTTGGGCACTAATGAGGCACTAAACATTGGGAATGGAGATTTGTGTCTGGTCCAGGTTCTACTCATGAGACACTAGTGTCTCATCTCTTTTTTTTTTTTTTTTTTGAGTTGGAGTCTCACTCTGTCACCCAGGCTGGAGTGCAGTGGCGCGATCTCAGCTCACTGGAACCTCCACCTTCCAGGTTCAAGCGATTCTCCTTCCTCGGCCTCCTGACTAGCTGGAACTACAGGCACCCACCACCATGCCCGGCTAATTTTTTTGTATTTTTAGTAGAGATGGGGTTTCACCATATTGGCCAGGCTGGTCTCAAACTCCTGACCTTGTGATCCACCTGCCTTGACCTCCCAAAGTGCTGGGATTACAAGCGTGAGCCACGGCACCTGGCCATGTCTCATCTCTTTCAAACCCAGTCCTGGGCATCCTTGGGTAGCCATACAGGATGCAGCAGTGCCACAGTATGGCATTTCCCTGGGCTCAGACAGGTACAAGGGAGCACTGAGATTTCCAAGGCAGGCATTTCACAGCAGTTGGCACCAAAGAAGTCCTTTCTATGGCTGGCAGGACTTGACCTGGAAAATAAGGAAATCTGCGTTTCTCCAGGGGCGTGAGTCTCAGGCAGTGTCTGTGTGGGCATCATCGACTGCTATGCTCCAAATGTCAGCTGAGGAGAAGGAAATGAACAGACTTAGGGTGCAACAAATACAAAAGAGGCCTAAGAATATTAATATAAATATTAATATAGAGAATAGTATTTTAATGCTATGTAAATATATTAATATAGAGAGACTAGCATATTAATACTATGTAAATATTTATATATTAATAAATTATATTAATATAACATTGCTATATTAACATGTTATTAATATTGATGTTAATATATTCACATTATATATTTATGTTAATATATTAATTATATTAATATAACATATTCTCAATTATGCTATCAAGGATATTGATAATTAATATTGACATTAGTTTATTAATATTTATGTATTTATTTATTGCTGTTGTCCCAGGTTTATTGAAAATAAAATCCAGTGACTGCTGTATATTACAGCATTGGAGAAAGAGTCAAACAGCTCCACGAGGCATTTTGAAATTCATCCCAACTGTAGGCCGAGTGACCTGCAGGTTGGACAGGCTGCCAAAGTCCAAAAGCTTCAGCATTTCCTTAGTGTCAGGATCTACTTCGATGATCTCCTGATCCAGGGCTGAGACCTTGGGGACATAATTGTCCCTCCTTTCTTTCTCCTCCTCCTGTAGCTTGATGGAGATACCTCTCACTGGACCTCTCTGAATCTGGTTCGTCAGATGCGTGACGCAGCCTGCTCTCCTGTTGTGGAGCTTCTTGCTGAGGATAATGGGGATCTCCTCACACACACTTGTTTGTGTGGAAGTCATTGCCCAGGCACATGTAGTACTTTTCTACGATGACCTAGGCCACCTTCGTCACAGTCTTGATGCCAACACGACCCATGTTGGTGGGTCTTTGGTCATTAATATTAATTGATATTAACATTATTCAGTTTATTAATAATGTATCATTAATAATATTTATACAATATTAGTAAAATAGTTTATCAGTACATTTTAATGTTGATATGCTTTCAATATTAAGATATTAATGTATTATTGATTACATGTGAATATATTAGCATATTAACAGTATATATTAATATATTTGGTATACTATATTAATATTATTTATATGATATGAATATGCTATTAGTGGCATATTAATAACAATATATTAATAATATAATGTGATTAATAGTTGTATGTGATTATTAATTATTTATGATTATATTATGATTAACAAGTAGTACTATTATATCTTGTTTCTAATGAATAATTATTATTAATATTCAAAAAACTAATAATAATTGTTATTTTTATAGAATCTGGAATTGTGGAGCAGACTTCGCAAGGCTTCTCTGACCTCTGCCTCCCGCTCTGGGATCTGTGAAACACACTGGGCTCTTCTTCTAGACCTCCCTTTTTGAAGCTCCTCCAAAGACCGTTTCATCATCTCTACTCAACAGTCTCCTCAGGAAATTGCCTCTTCAGTAGGCAAATGTCACTTGCCACAAACTTATCTTTGGCATGAGGATAAGACAGTGCTAAGGTAGAACTGTCTGTACCTTCTTTGGGTTTACATTGTGATAACTGCAAGGAGAAAAATAAATTGGGCTGAGTGGATAGAAAATGATAAGGGTAATGGATGTTTCCTAGTGGGATAAATGAGGGGA
Organism: Homo sapiens; assembly: GCF_000001405.40. Lineage (NCBI taxonomy): Eukaryota > Metazoa > Chordata > Mammalia > Primates > Hominidae > Homo > Homo sapiens. Next base: position 799,460 of record NT_167249.2, read on the forward strand.
GTTTCTTAGTAGGACATGGAGATCTGAATGACCTACTGGAGCAACCAGGTGACAGCCAGAAGGAAAGAGCCACAGGCAGGCTCAGCAAGTTCACCACCCTGGGGCAAGTGGCTTCATCTGCTTTGTTAATCTTTGATGCTCCTGTCCAGAGAGGGCCTCTTAAGCAACTTGAGTGCAATAACTATTTTTCTATTATTGCGTTAATAAACCCCAAGAAGGTCCCTGCAACTCTAGAGAGTTAAAGACTTATAAGCCATTTTCAAGATTGGAGAATATTCTTATCTCAGCCATCAGTGGACAGAAAGGGGCAGCCAGGCCCCTTCAGAGCAGCACTGAGCTACTGTCCCTGGAGTGGTGGGGCCTGACCACAGCTTCCTCTTTCAACCATGGAATCCTTATCACTATTTTGCAAACACCAAAGATGTAGCCTCAGATGTGAATCTACTCACATGCTGGAAGTTTGTCCATGATGTTGAGAGCTCGTTTAAGTGGAAGATCCTGGATGAGTGCAGATACAGACTGTGAGCAGGAGAGCTCTGCTCTGTCTCTTTTCAAGACTCTGAGACAGAGGCCAAGAGCCTAGCATGCAAAACACCTCAGACAATGCATCCAGGGTAGGGGAGAACTGATATGAACCATTCACCCTTAGCCAAAAACCTGCTCACCTTGGGCAGGTGTGGTACCTCAAGGCTGACCACAGACTAGAGGAGATCTCATGTGTCTTCCTTAGAGAGATTCCTGTCCACCTTCCTGTCTCAGGAAGATGGATGGAATCATTTCATTGGAGGATGCCAACATCCCCTGTCCAGGGCCCACTGCCTGAGCCTTGGACATTTCGGCTGAGCTGGCTAGGCCTCTGAGAATCAGCCCTGATGACCCTTGATGCCCCACTATGGAGTCCAGAACACTGAAGAACTTAGGATGCTTGAGAGGTGAAACGCTCTGGGCCCAAAGAGATCAGACCATCCTTTCCTGAGATCCTGAACACTGATAATGACTTCTCATACTTTAAGACAGCTTCACAGATGAAGTTGCCAGAGAAGCTGAGCTCACTAAAGCAGGATGTATCTGTAACAAGAAAAAAATCCTTAAATGAGTTGCTATAGCTGATCCATGGGAATGCCCAAAAAGATGTTACAGATTTCACTAGGGCTTAATCTTAGTCCTGCAGCACCAAGTACACACTCTTCCTCCTACTAACCTGGGAAGAGCCAGTTCAGGGGAGAACGGGAGGGAATAACCCAAATGTCCATTAACAGAGAGTGCCAACAGCTTCCAAAATGTGTCTCCAGTCAAGGACAGGCCAAGATGACTCATCAAAGAAATGCAAATCAAAACCACAACTAGATAGCACCTTACGCCTGTTAGGATGGCCATTCTGGAAAAACAAAAGATAACAAGTGCTAATGAGGATGTGGAGAAAGGGATCCCTCACACACTGTTGGTGAAAATGCAAAATGGCGCAGCTGCTGTGAAAAGCAGTATGGAAATTCCTCAAAAAATTAACAGTAGAACTGCACCGTATGGTCCAGAAATCCCACTTCTGAGTATTTGTCCAAAAGAATTGAAATCAGGTTTTCAAAGAAATATTAGCACTCTTATGTTTGCTGCAATACTATTCACAATAGCCAAAATGTGGAAACAACCTAAAAATCCATCAAAAAATGAATGGATAAAGAAAATGTGATATAAACATAAGATAGAATAGTATTCAGCCTTTAAAAAGGAAGAAATTTGGCCAGGTGTGGTGGCTCACGCCTATAATCCCAGCACTTTGGGAGGCCAAGGTGAATGGATCACGAGGTCAGGAGTTCAAGAGCAACTTGACCAACATGGTGAAACCCCGTCTCTACTAAAAATACAAAAATTAGCTGGGCATGGTGGCAGGTGCCTGTAATCCCAGCTACTTGGGAGGCTGAAGCAGAGAATTGCATGAACCTGGGAAGCGGAGGTTGTAGTGAGCCGAGATTACACCACTGCACTCCAGCCTGGGCAGGGGAGGGAGACTCCATCTCAAAAAAAAAATGGAAGAAATTCTGTCATATATGACAACATAGTTGAACCTGCAGATCATTATGGTAAGTGAGATTAGCCAGTCATAGAAGAATAAATCCTGCATGCACTTAAATAGGGTATCTAAAATAGTCAAATTCATAGAAACAAAGAGTGGGATGGTTGTTCCCTGGGCTGTAGGACAGGAAGTAGGGAGCTAGTAGTCAGTGGGCATAAAGTTTCAGTTTAACAAAATAGATAAGCACTAGAGCTCTACTGCACAAAAGTAGTAGTTGCCTATAGTTAACAACAGTGTACTGGAATGTTTTTGCAACTGAAGCTGCTTCATCTTTTTGAGCCTCTGGTATTTCCTCTGCAAAATTAGAATACTGATAATACCTACTTGTGGGTTTGAAAATTAAATGGGTGGATAGCATGTAAGTGCATGGAACAGTGATGAGCATATAGTGAGAGATGAATGAATAAATACTGTCCTGTTGGGACAGATGAATGTCAATAAGCAAATGCAGTAAATTGGATCATTTCAGACGGTGCTTACTACTCTGAAGGAAAAAAAAAAGTGGCAGTGGGATGGACTATCTTAAGGAAAACGGGAAAGACAGTGAGCCACTTAGGTTGGTCCTTTCTGAGCTGACAATATTTTCTGGCTTTTTCAGGAAGCCAATCCTGGGAATATCTAGAGGAATAGTGCTGCAGGTAGTGGGAACAGGAAGTACAAAGGCGCATAGGAAGAACAGTCGTATGGTTGAAGAAAAGAAAGAAGGCCAGTGTGGCTGAAGTTTAGGGAGGGAAAGAGAGAGTGAGAGAAATAAGCTTTTAGAGAGGTAGGCAGGTGTGGAATCATATAGGCCAAGATAAGAAGTTTGAATTTTAAGTGCAATGTCCAGGTGTTGGAAAGTTTTAAGCTCAGATAATAATATTATCTGGATTTATTTATTTCTTTAGAGACAAGGTCTCACTCTCTCACCCCCAGGCTGGAGTGCAGTGATGCAATCACTGCTGACTGCAGCTTCCACCTCTCCAGCCCAATCGATGCCTCCACCTCAGCCTCCTGAGTGGCTGGGACCACAGGCGTGTGCTGCCACATCTGGCTAGGTTTCTTTTTTAATTTTCTAATTTTTTTCTTTTTGTAGAGATGGGAGTCTCCCTTTGTTGCCCTGTGCTGGTCTCAAATTCCTGAGCTCAAGAGATCCCCTCCACCCCGACCCCACAAATTGCTGGGATTACAGGGATGAGTTGCCATGCCCAGCCAAGGATTTGCATTTTAAAGATCACTACTGTGCACTTAAAATTATTAGGATAATAGATCTCGTGTCAAGAATTCTTACCAAAATGAAGCAAAATTCGCACACAAAAAAAGAATAAGCAAGGATGGATTCCAGTCCCCAGTCCTCAAATGAAGGGTTGCACTGTCCTGATAATGTTCTTTCCCTTGGGGAAAACACATCTAAAATCCTTGCAAAAACTCCTCCGAATTAGAGAGATGAGAAAGAGAGTCAGATGAAGAGAGAACACAGTTCTCATCTTACCTGTGACATTTTTCCTGGGGGCAGGGGTAAGTCAGGGGGCAGTGAGGCTGACACAGACACAGAAGGACAGGTGACACCTCTGTGGACCAATGGTCTGGAATTGTCTTCCTGTCCTCTGAATATGAGCTCTCTCTTGGGCTTCCAGAAGTTACTGGACCTTGAGCAACTTTGATCAAGATTCCCATGTGCTCCTTGTTTTTCTTCTGGCCAATGAGTGGCTTCTATCTGTGGGGACAGATAGCTGAGCATCCCGAGGTTTATCACATGGTCAGCTGCTCCACTGTGGCTTTATGTGCCCAGGCAGGTCCTTCCTGTCTCCATAGGGCTCCTTTCTCTTACTCTGGTCAGAGCTCCGCATAGCCCTGGCAGCCCCTGACTCCCTCATCCTAGGGACAGGGAATAGGGCCTTGCAAGGAGTAGACCCAGTTCCAAGTTGGATATGTTGAGTCAGTTTCTAGTGAGCTGAACTTCATGGCATTGCTCTTGATAAACACAAGATCAAGATCAAATTCAGAGAACCCCTCAGGCAAAAGCTTTCACCATGCTTCACTCCCAAAGAAAGCACCCCTTGAGGGGTGTTCCAATACAATTTGTGCAGAGAGAAGCCAGTAATGTGGCCCTTTCTTCACCTCAGTAAGAAAAGCTTGGCCCTAGCCCTCACAGTTTGAAAAGAGTGTCCTCCTATTACAGGCATGGGTATGTATTGGGACTTCTGTGTCCACATTTCACCTGCATTCTCAACTCTCAGGGACCACAGCAGGTCTGAGAGATTCTGCCTGTCTTTCTGACACACATCGGGTCAACCCTGTGCACTGACTGATGTCTTAGGACTCAGATTCGGGGTTGCCATGAGCTCACTGTCATTTTACCTTCTCAGTACTTTTCCCTTGCTCTGATCTCACCTGCCACATTCACTTTAAGAATGCACATTTCTAGATTATTGATTTTCCAACTGAGTTGTCCCGAGGGCTGATGTTCTGTAAACAGTTATTTCATTTTCTCTGTTCAAAGATGGTTTGTACCCACCATCTTCATGTAACAGTTTCTTGGTCACTTACCATGTGAATATGCAGTCTCTGGGCATGGAGTCCCCTGGACTCTCAATATCTTGTGTCCTGTTTTGCCACCTGATCCTAGTTAGGACAGGCACTGAAAATCAACACCAATGACGTATTGTTACCCTGAGAGAAAATGTCTTGCTTAAGTGTAGAATAACATTTTCTGTTGTCTCTTGTCACCCCTCCTAGCCTTTTCCCCACAATCCCACAGTCATGTTGATGCATGCTGAAGGGTGTTATGCCCCACTCTGTTCCTCCCACACTGACCGGCTTTTCTCACCCATCAGCTCTGAAGTACAAGAGGCTCCTGGACTTCAAGGTGCTCTGCAAGCTCCTCACCTGTATCTGCCTCCCAGTTTCCACAGTGCCCTTTCATGGCCTTTCTCCTGGACATACGAAGTGTGCTTCTCAGAGGAGTTTTACTTAGTGGAATTATCTGTCTCTTAAAGTGTAATCTGTATCTTTTGAATGAAAAAAAAAAGACCTACATTTGTTCTCTCTGGTATGCAGACACCAGACTCTTTTGTGACCCCTGAAATCAGTTTCTCTGTTTCTGATGAACTCTGGAGGTTTTGTCACTGCTGCTGCACTGCTTTACTTGATTCCAGGAATTCGTCCTTTGTCCTCTGTGGAAGTTTTAGTTCAGGTCTCATTTTTTTCCCTTAAGCACAAGACCCCTCCCTTAATGTAACACCACACGTTCTCCAGCGCAGGCCATCTGTTCTATTGAAGCGATTCCAACAGCTTCTGCAATTAACTTGTCAAGAGAAGGAAGAAAAGAAAGAAATGAAATGGTCAGGTATCCCTTGAAGATTCTGATGGTCACACAGAGGGAAAGAGCCTTGTGTGTGGGACCTTGAGTGTCAGGCCACCTCTTCTCCAAGATGGGCAGGGTTTGGTCCATCTTCCCAAATGGAGCTAAAGATCCATGCTGGAAATTTCCCTGCTCTAGAACAGACAGCTTGGAGTGATGAGTCATGATGAAGACCTTTCTATTGATTCTTCATTGCTGGGGTTTCCAACCTACAGGGATGAGGACTGATGCATCTGTGAATGAGCATGCCATTCCCTGGCAGACACCTGAGTTCATTGCTTGCTAAGAACTTGGTTCTACATCACTTCTTCTGAAATAGAAGGGCCTGCTGGCTTGTCAGCAAATAAGCAAAGTTTGGCTTGCTGTTTGGAGAAGCCTAATTTTATCAGTGTCAGCTCAACATTTAAATTTGAAAAAGGAAATTCAGCATAAGCAAGGTTCACATTCAGGTGTATGCTTAAATTCTAGGTATTCATCTCATTCATGAACTCAATCAGTAGCCAGAGTTTCCAGGATGCCTAGGGATTGCCCCCAAGGATCAGTGCTGGTTTGCAGCTACAATACCAGAGTTTGACTCTGATGCCACACTCTGAGGGCAGTCCTCACCTATTGTGATAAAACCCTTCAGGTCCTGTGGCGTAGCCATGGCCCATCCTGGACATGTTTAACTTCACCCACCAGGCACCCATCTCACTAAGAAGACTTTGATGTTCATGAGAAATGAATTTCTGCTGCCTACAGGAAGGAGATAGGACTTCTCTGAACCGTTGAGGCTCCTGCTACCTCCAGAGCAGGCAACAAAGATTAGACCCTGCCAGGAGGGAAGCACACCAGATAAGGATGGAGAATTATCTTGACAAGGGGCATGAAAAAAATTACTGGATGACAAAAAAAATACATCACCAAAGATCAATAAAACATTTGTAGAACACCCCACGGAGATGTGATCTGCCCACTGTACAGATCAGAAGAGCTTCCTTTCTTCTTCTGCGTCAGAAAATATCTGCTTGCTGGTCAATGTCCAGAGGATGATGTGAAGATGGGAAAGGACATTTTCCCTGGACACCATTTCTGAAGTTACATCTCTGTGTGTGCTTTCATTGGTGATGCCATTTCTCTTTGCTTTCTCTTCTTTTCTTGGGAAGACTTCTCTGTCTACATTTGTATATTTATTTGGCTGACTTTCCCTGAATTTGCTGCCTGACTGAGTAATTTATTTCAAAATAACTACATGGCAAGCTGTTTTATGCTGTTTAACTAAATCCATTGATTGAAGCATTTTCTGACACCTGGCCGTCCACATGGAGATTTCTCTTTTCCAGTCTTTCTAGTCTGGAAAAGACGTCACCATCCACAGGAAGTGTTTGTCATTGTACCCAATCTGGTCTCAGTAGCACCATTTACATACCAATAGTGTAAATCTCTGTGTTTCTTATAGACACATGATATGGTTTGGATTTGTGTCCCCGCCCAAATCTCATATCGAATTGGAGAAGCCTGGTGGGAGGTAACTGGATCATGGAGGCAGATTTCCTCCTTGCTGTTCTCATGACAGTGAGTGAGTTCTCATGAGATCTGATGGTTGAAAATTGTGTGACCTTCCCCCTTCACTCTCTCTCTTTCTCCTGCCACCATGTGAAGAAGGTGCTTGCTTCCCCTTGGTGTTCTGCCATAAATGTAAGTTTCCTGAGGCCTCCCAGTTATTCTTCCTGTTAAACCTGTGGAACTATAAGTCAGTTAAACCTCTTTTCTTCATAAATTAGCCAGTTTCAGGTAGTTCTTTATAGCAGTGTGGTAATGGACATAATGGACTAACACTATCTTGTTCTCTGGTATCTTTATTAAAGCATTTTCAGTGTCTGCTCATGCTCTCTTCTTTAACAATAATGTGCTTTCTGTGTTTATTCCTGTGACATGCAGCAGCCAGCACTGCCAGCCCCCATGGCTCTGCATGTCCCCACTGAGGTCCTGTTCCAGTGTCTGCAAGTCCCTCCTGATATTAACATATAACCACTGGCAATTATCTCAACATTTCTATTTTCTAAATAATTTTCATTTTAAAATCCTCCAGTACCAAAAGTTGTTTAAGACAAAAACAAATAGTTAATTTCCAGTTAGCAAAGCTTTCTCTTTGTATTAAGTATGCTTTAATCACATATTCAAAAACATGTGGTTTCTATTTTAATAACTTCTAAAAAATAATTTGGATTTTGTTTTGGGTGGATTATATTGTATGAAATCCCTTGTCTTTTCATATTTTGACCATTGTATTTTAATGTTTTGTAGCATGTCTTAGAATGAATGCAGGCATTCCTTTGGAGCATATATCCAACGAAAAGGAGTGAAATTACTGGGTCAGCAACTTCTTTTTTTTTTTAATATTTGATTAAATGAAATGTTTTACATCTCTCTGTTCCTCTTGCTCTTCTGTACATTATCATTCTTGTGGCTTTTTAAATTCAACTTTTAATTTTTAGATAATTGTAGATTCACATGTAGATGCAAGAAATAATGCAAACAGATCCCATACCCAGTTTTCCAGTGGTAACATCATGCAAAATTATATTATAATATTTTTAATGTGGGTGTTTATCACTGTAAACTTCTCTCTTAGAACTATTTTGCTGCATCCCATAAGTTTAGGGATGTTGTATTTCCATTTGTGTTTGTCTCAAGATAGTTTTTAAATTTGCCTTTTGGTTTCTTCTTTGACATACTGATTGTTCAACATGATATTATTTAATTTTCAAAAATTTGTAAATTTTCCAATTTTCTTCCTGTTACTAACTTTTAATTTATTACCATGGTGGTCAGAAAACAGACTTGATATGATTTTAATCTTCTTAAATTTGTTAAGATTTGTTTTGTGGCTTAATATATGATCTATCTTAGAGAATGTTCTGTGTATGCTTGAGAAGAATGGTCATTCTGCTGCTGTTGAATGTAATGTCCCATAAATGTCTCTTAGGACCTCTTGGTCTATCGTGTTGTTCAAATCCAAAGTTTCCTTTTTGATTTTGTGTCTGGACAATCTATCCGTTGTTGAAAGTGGGGTATAAAAGTTTCCTGCTAATGTTGTGTTGCTGTCTGTTTCTCCCTTCATTGTGTTCATATTTTCGTTACATATTTAGGTGCTCTGAACTTGGGTGCACATACACTTAAAATTGTTATATTTTCTTGATAAATTGACTCCTTCGATCATTACAAAATTATCTTCTTTGAATCTTGTGGCAGTTTTTAACTGAAAGTCTATTTTATCTGATGTGTGTATAGCCACCCCTCTTCTCTACTAGCTACCATCTGCATGGAACATCTTTTTCCATCCCTTCACTTTTAGCCTATGTGTGTCCTTAAAGATATATTGAATCCCTCAGATGCAACACATAGTTGGATCTTGGTTTTCTTTTTCTATTCATTCAGCCACTCTATGTCTTTTGATGGAGAATTGAATTCATTTATATTTAAAGTGATTATTGACAGATGAGGACCTATTACTGCCATTTGTTCAGGGGTTTCTGACTATTTTGTAGATATTTTGTTCTTTCTTCCTCTTGCTGTATTCCTTTGTAATTTAATGATTTTTTTGTGTGGTAATATGCTTTGATTTTACTCTTTTTGTCTTGTGTGTACCTACTACAGGTTTTTGTTTGTTGTTGCCATAAGACTTACATAAAATATCTTACAGTTTTTAGTCTATGTGAAGCTGCTAATAACTTAACTTCAACTGCATACAAAAACCCTACACTTTAACTTCTTCTCTCTACACATTTTTATGTTATTCATGTCACAATTTACATCTTTTCATACTCTGTATCCACCAACAAATTATTATGGCTATAATTGTTTTATTTTATCTTTTAATTTTATACTAGAATTAAAAGTGACTTATGCCATCAGAGTATGAGAGAAGTCTGAATTGTACTATATTCTTATTTTTACAGTGAGTTTTATACTTTTGAAATGAGAAAAGTTCCCTTGTTCCCCTCGCGGGGCACGTGATGGGGGTGTGGCTTGCTTCTTCAGTGCCCCACTGCTCAAACCTCTAGGGGAGCATACAGATGGGCAGATTGTGGGGCTCCGACCCCACGGTGGCATCTAGGGGTGGATGTTTACAGCTCCTGAAGCCCTAGGAGGAGAAACTTCTCATCTGCTAAATGGGGCTCCCTTGCAGCTCTGAGGTTCTGAGATCTTAATGTGTGCACTGTGTCTTCAGTGCACACAATACCACCCAACACAAATTCAATGCAATTGATTCCCCAGCAGTTGAACTCAATCACAATGCCACTGGCCTTGTTCTAAAAATTAAAGAACTGCTGCAGGAAGGGCCCTATAAATTTTGTCATCATAACTGCCTGAGCCAGAGATGTGGGGTGTTCCCTGCCAATCAGGGCAGAACAGGTTGACATGGGCCAATGAAGCCCAGAGGTCCTGGAGGAGATGAAAGTCACACAGGCCCCCTCAGAGATATCTGCCAACGTCAGTGTTGGGGTCTCTTCTGAAGGACGCTGTCTGTGAGATTGGGAAAGGTACCCAGCAGCCTTGTTTCTGTGGCCCAATACTTTTTCCACCAGACTCCTTCACGTGCCTAATTTGGGACATGGTTTCTGAGCTGCAGGTGTTGCCCACTCCAGCCCAGAGATCCCAGAACATCCTGCAAGCTCAGACGCAGGATAAAGGGCCACAGGAGCAGGAGCCTCCTCTCTCTGGGCAACTTCAGACTGTTTCCCCACTGTGCTGTCCTAGAAGGGGCTGATGCAGTGAACAGAGCCCTTGGGGCAGGTGGGGCCTGGGCTCAGCTGCAGAGACCAGGGGACGGGCTGGACCACATTCTCTTTCTGCCATATGCAGCTGCCTTACACTACAAGAGGGGGAAGAAGGGAGCTGAGGAGGTAAAAAGAGAAAAGACCCAGAGCCAGCGGGCTTTGTCACATCGGCTGTGACAGTTAAACCTGGCATTACTCGTAATTGCTTACATTTACTACACATTCATACAGAGGCCATGCTGTGGCTAGGCGTCTCTGGGCTAAGAATGTCTTATTCATTTAGAACTAGTACCTCGGACTCTGATTACGGGCCTTGCTGCGTGTAAGGAACAGCACTGCTTTAGCATGAAGCCTAGCCTATTGTCAGTGCTCAGAGAGCTCTGACACCAACAATTGGTTTTCCTACGAAGAATCACGTAATATTTGGGTTATAGAAGCAGGGCAGTGCTAACTGGATGTCCTGAAAGGAATGGACCTGGCATAAGAAGGGATGGAGAGCAGAATTTGAAAAGCATCCAATCCTGAAATTGGGCTGGAGGGAGCATGTCCCAAGCCTGTTAGGGACGGCAGGAAATTCATGACCAGTATGAAGGTGAAGCTGGGCACCTGCAGGCAGGCTGGTCTGCTCTCTCTGCTGTGACCCTCCTCAGGGCAGGCTGTGCTGTCAACAGGTGTTGTGCAATGCCAAGAACCCATGAGAATTCTCACTACGCCAGGGTTTTGAGGCACCCCTGTTCCCAGGTTCCTTCCTAGAACCCTGGTCGCCTTGGGATGACTGGGGGATTCTAGTTGACTACCCAAGGAAATCTGAAGCTTGGGAAGTTTGCAATGTTAAGTCTCGGTCCAGAGTCGGACCTGGCTCCGCGCCTGTCTGGCAGCAGCAGCAGCAATCCCTATCCGGGTCCAGAGCCCTGCCCAGTGGATACTGTGTGGTGTTTCCACAAAGTTGCATCTTTGAGCACCTCACAGAGAATCTGGAGCCTCTCAACCAGGACAACGTGAGAAAAAAATCTGAAGAAAAAGGCCCAGGTGCTTGGGGTAAGAACAGCCAAGCAAAGGGCAGAGGCTGAGTGGGTGCCAGGAGGACACTTTGTCACTTTGGAGACAGAGCCTTTGGCTTAAGGAGTTCCAGGCTGCTCTGGAGGCGTCGGGGGAGGCCTCTGGGACCACCTAGTCATTTTCCGCAAGAAAGTAAGAGATTTCCCAGTTTTGTGCTCATGGGGAGCATTCACCTGAGATATAAAACTTTGGCTGCTTAACTCATTTTAAGGGAATAATAACATATTTGCATACACTTTATTTGGAGGCAAAAGAAAAAAAATAGTCTGTTGAATAAATTATTCTAGATTTTACTTCCCAGGGATTTTTTTTTCTTTCTAAAAATTATAGACAATTCATCTCCTATTCTCCCTTCTTGAGAAATTAACCATTTGAAAACAGATATGTGCCCTTAGTCTGCCTTCCAATATCTCTCATACGATCCATGATTTTTAAAGAAATACAACTCCATTGCATGACCAAAGGGAGGAGGGGGAAATGGAAAGAAGGAGCTGGGCAACACAAGCACCAGGGGGAAGGGCCTGGGGCCCAGGGCCAGCACCTCCCTACTTGTGGGAGCCTCAGCTGTTCCTTCAATCCCCAGGCCACACCTAACCTTGGGTTGAAAAGTGCTTTCTGGGCTGACTCCGCTGTTAGAACAGGTAGGAGGTTGCTTGGTAAATGTTGCAAGAATGTGAACTCTTGTGGTAGAAATATTCTGAGGCTGATTCAGAGGCTGCCTGGGACCCCGTCACAGCTCTGGGGTCTGTCTCCCACAAGGAGCCATGCCCCGAACAGAGGTACCTGTGTCCACTCATCCTGCAGAGAGTGGGAGCCAGTTCCTGCCCCACCTGCTGTCTCCTAAGTGCTTCTTTGTGCCCAGGAGGGAGAGGGAGCAAAGGGCATGGGAACCTCCTGGGCTGTGACCAGTCATCACCTGGGATCCCACTGCCACAGCTCAGAGCTAAAGACAGAAACACCCAGCATTTCACTGCACGCTGATCTCAGCCAGCACTGGGAAGGGCTGGGAGCATGTCCTGCGTGCTTGGTTTCCCATGCCCCTGAGACGCTTTTCCTGCTTCCGCACTATCTCCTTGGGTTGCACAGAGAGTTCCAGCACTCCGCTTCCCTGGGGAAACTGACAATGACTGGCCCTTGATTGACTCACCCAGTGAGTTGGTTTCCTGGGGCCATGGTAACAAACTACCACAAACCAGATGGCTTTAAAAAAAAAAAACAAAAAAAAAACAAAACAAAACAGAAACTCATGCTCTCCCAATTCTGGAGGCCAGAGGCCATAGTCTGAAATCCAGGTCTGGGCAGGGCCAGGCTTTCTCTCCCAGCTCTGGTGTATCCTGGCAGTCCTTGGCTCTCCTTGGTTGCAGCTGCATCCCTCCCACCTCTGCCTCCGTTTTTGTGTGACATTCTCTCTGCCAGCATCTGCCTGTTTCTCTTGTCTTGTACCTACACCAGTCATACTGGATTAAAGGCCCTCCCTGCTCCACTCTGATCTCATCTTAACTGACATCCCAATGACATCTACAAATACCCTATTTCCAAAGAAGATCACATTCCCAGGTATCAGGGGTTAGGACTTGAACATATCTTTCTGAGGTCACACCAGGTGACCCTTCTTCCCTAACAGACCATCCAGATCCTCTGTGGCTTTGCAGTTATGAGCATGGGGATCCTTTTGGCATGTACTTCCTTTCCCTGTCACTTTGGCCCAGTGGTTCTCACCTTGGTGAGGTCTGGATACCCATTCGTAGGAGCCAAGTATGTGAGTAGGATGGGTGTTCATGGAGGGTGGTCTCTGGGATGGAGCAGGGCACAGACAACTGATATGCTACCTAGCAATGTCTCTGTGGAGAGCAAAGATGCAGGAATGGAACTTGTTTTGAGGGCAATCAGCCAGGAGTGAGAGAAGGCCTGGCAGGAGAAGGGGTTTTGCCAATGGGAACAGAATTGATCATCTGGCTCAAATATCAGTTCTTCCAAAATCCTCATAGTGCCATCCTCGAGGGCCCTGGGAGCCCTGCAGCTTCTCTCTGGGGTGACAATAGCATGTGTAGCCTCAACAGGGACACTATAAGAATAAAAGAGTGTGCTATTACTATTTATGCCATGATCACAGGAATACCCAGGACTGTCCCTGACACACTGGACATAGGGTCACCCTACTTCTCCCTAAGTTCAGGTGACACAAGGAGTAGGAGTGAGGTGGGCAGACAGCAAGTGAGAAATGGGGTGGACAGGGCACACAGTGGGGTGGCCAGGCTGGTGCATTTGTGGCCCTGTCTATGGGGCCAGCAGGACCAGTGGGGTCAGTAGAGCATATACTGAGCTTGAAGAGGTGGCATGGAGCACTTAGAAGCTCTATCTGCTGCTTGTCATCTCTTGGCATGTGGAAGGCCTTCTGCAGAGTTACGCTCCAGACATAGCCTCGGAGTCCTGAATATCCCCCAGGCTCCTGGAATCAAGGAGTGTCTTAGACGGCTTGAGCTGCTTTAACAAAAATACCATAAGCTGGGTGGCTTATAAACAGCAAGCATCTATTACTCACAGTTCTGGAGGCTGGAAGTCCAAGATCGTGACACCGACAGATTTGGTGTCTGGTGAAGGCTGTTGCTTGTTCATAGATAGAGCGTTCTCGCTGTGTCCTCATGTGGTGGAAGGGCAGAGGAATCTCTCTGGGTTCCTTTTATAAAGGAAGTAATCCCATTGATGAGGGCTTCACCCTTACGACCTACTCACCTCCCAAAGACCCCACCTCCAGATACCATCGCATTGGAGGTTAGGTATTTAGCACATGAAATCTGGGGGCAACAGACATTCAGGCCACAGCAAGAAGCTTCAGGAGAAAGCTTTCAGTCTTGTGAAATGTGAATGAGGCTTTCCCACAGCCTAGACCTGTCTTCACGCCCCAGCCGCAGCCTCTTGCATTCACGGTGGCTTTTGAGCATCCTCTGACCACTGAGTCACAAACCTCCCTGTTCCCTCTCTATCTGGCTATTTTCTTGGTAGGACCAGAAAAACTTTTTTTTATAGTCTTGCCACCATGCCATGTAGTTTTCGTACATTGCAGCTATTTCAAATTACTGCATTACCACAGAACACTTTTTCTGTAATAACCCAGAATCAACAGTTTTTTTCTAGCTGTTAACCTGGCCTCAAAATCTTCCCTTTATTTGGGCCCCCTTTTTCTTCTGTCCTTAACTCTGACTCTGGTAGAGCCCATGGAACTGACAGTTCAAAGCCCGCGTGGCTTTTCTCTCCCCACCACAACATCTTCATCTAAATAGAGTCTTGTAACATTTACCTGCCCTCTCTCCCTTGAAAATCACTGTTCCCTGGTCCCTGTTGGGGAGCCTGGGCCTTAAGCCCCTTTGTCTTTGCCCTAGAAGAACTTCCTCTCCAGCTGAGTCAGGTTCTCATGAGATTCTAGGGGTGGCTTGGCCTCCTATATCCACTTCCCCCAACATTGGCCTGTAGCCACATATGGCCTGGACTTTGGCCCAGCTTCCAGCATGCCCAATAATGTCAGCCCTGTGGGGAAGTTCCTGGAGGTGTACAAGGACGTGACAATTCAGTGGTAGGGACATCGGGGTGCTTGTTCATGTGGAAACTGACTTTACCATTTTCCTCTTTTCTGAGTAGTTTATCATTTCTGGATTGCTGTCTGTCATTTTGGGAAGAAAATCAAACAAGCATCTGGTGAGTATAGGAACAACAGTGCCTCACTTACTAAAAAGAGACTTTAGCGGAACCTCATCCAGTTGGATCTTTCCAAGGTTCAGACAAAGGAACTGAACCCCAGGTTGCTGACAAGTGTCCTTTGGTCAGTGGCCCTGTGGAAGTACACAGGGCCCACTGATCTGGGGGACACCTTTCATGATCCTCATTTTGAAGAGAGTCCTGTACCCTCTCCAGGCTCTGGGTGGCTTTATGGGAAAATTCTGCCTCATCATGACACCCTTTGGTGTTCACTGACCACCGGGGTTCAGGTCCTTGGTGAGCACAGGGGAAAGAGGACAGTGAGAGCATGGGCTGTTAGTTGTGCACCACAGCCTGGGTGAGAAAAGCATCAATCAAAAGAGATGAGCCTTGCTGGTGGGGGCCAGGAAGGGTGCAGAGTGAAAAGGGGGTGTTCAGTGATGGGTGCACATCTGATTGACAAACTTTTGCAGAATCATTTCCAGGCCTTTCTTAGGAGGCTAAGAGGCATGGGTTGGGGGACAGAGATGGGTATGGTGGAGATTCTGGTGACCTGGGATTTGGGGGTCTCCCTGTCCTGACACAGAAGCTGCCAAGAAACTGGCAGCCAAGCCTCAAGGTGGCAGTGCCAGGTTTGGACACTGTCATTCTCTCAGACCTCCCTCAAAGGATCAGATGCCCTTCTTCATCCCCACCCTCAGCCTCCCCTGAGCCCTCCAGGAAAGCAGCCTGTGTGGATCCCCTAAACAAGGGCAGGAGCACCAGCCCTACAGAGCAAGCAGCAGCTGGGTGAGGCAGACGGCGGCACAAGGTGGGGACCACGGTGTTCCAGGGCCACTTAGGCTCCTAGGAAATTCACCCGCCACCATCCTCAGGGACCTCTTCTTTGAAAAAAAGGGACTTTCTCAGAACATTCTGACAACACGAGTTGTGAATCCCTGGGGCTGTATGGAGAAATGGCCCACGACCTTTTTCCATCTCTTCCCCCATCACTGCCCAGCTCTGAGATTGAGCCCCTGGGAAGAGGGCCCGGATCTTTGCCAGAGGCTGCTGGGCATACCTGAGCACACGTGCCATGGGCTGTTTGTGACGGGCTGGAACACCTAGCCCAGGTGTCCCAGAAGCCACCACAGACATCAGCCTATTCCTCCCCTGGTGTTGGTCTTTGAAAAGTGAGTCTGGACACTGCAAAACTGGAATCCAGGTTTCCTACTTTCGAGGGGAGGTAGCCCCCCATGGCGCAGCTGTGATTCTCAGCCTACCTCTGGGCCGTGCCCCAGCCGGGATCTGAACATCCACCCTCGGCCCCAGGTGCTGTTGCCCCCACACTGAGCCCTCGTACCCCATGCTCCCTGGCCCTCCTGCCAGGGCACCCTTTTCACAAAGTGGAGTGGATGAAAAGAACAGGAAAGAGCACCAACCCTGCTGCTGTCCCCATATGACAGAGGCTGCTGTGGGGGCATCTGTTGTACTTGGGTGAGCAGGCCCCTTGGCCTCGAGCTCTACCATGCAGGGGTGCTGCAGACAGAGCCAGGTGATAGGAAAGAGCATGTCTGGGAACCCACCTGATGACAGCCTCAGCTCAGGATGAGGCAGGAGGCCTCTGGCTAGGCTTAGGGGAGATGGCTGGAGGAACCTCCTCAGGGTGCCAGTGGACTGGGTAAAGCCAGCAGGGGGCTTGGAGGTCAGGGAAGCTGTGATTTATCAAGCACTGTGGGCATTGCAATATTTTCTCTGTTCGGTTCAGTCCAATGGGACATCAGTTCTATACATATCTTCCTCTTCCTCTAGCCCTGCTCAGTCCTGGGTGGAGAAGCTACCAGAACCACATCTCCTGTCTGTCCCACCATAAGTCTCTGCTTCATTCACGCTTTCATGTGTCGTTCATCAAGCAAGCATTTGCCTGTAGGCTTGGGGAGCTCTGAGAGGGGTTGAGAGTGAACAAAATTAATCAAATCGTATAACAGAAGAGGAAGTCCCATCCTGCTGAGGATCCTGGATGTGAGAACCTGCTGCTGGCCTGGTGGGATCGTGGTGCCCCAGGAGCATGAACTGCTCAGGAGCAGACCCTGACCAGATCCCCTGCAGGCCTGGAACAGCCTGATCAGCAGCCTCCTAAGCCCCATGGCTGCCACAGTGGGCCTCATTGTCCTTCCCTATCACCTAGCCGGGGTGTTCCCAGCTGCCAGACAGTGCCAACTGGTGGTGCCTGCCCATCAGTGCCCCAAGACAGCCACTACTTTTCGAAGAATGAGACCACCAGCTGCTTTGTGGCCAGCTCCAGCTTACTGGTGAGTATTTTTAGGTAGAATCTTCCAGACTAGTGAAGTCTTTGAGATTTTCTGCTTCTTGTTCACTGCTTCCTTCTGATGTGGACCATGCGGAAAGAGGCAGAACACAGGAACCCACACATGGGAGAATAGCAGGCATTTGACTGGACTGTGCCAAAAGAGTTGTTCAAGTACAATATCAAGCAAGACTGTAGTTGCAAAAAGACATAACCAACAACTTGGTTTCAATTTGAGCACCTTAATAAACAAACTGATTTAACTGTCATAGTCTCAAGGGATGGGTTTTTCCAAGCAAGAACTCTAGGGTCAGGGTAGCGAATTGCTCAAGAAAGGCCAAGAGCTCAGGGAGACATAGGAACCTCATAAACAGGGTGGCCACAGGCTGGCAGTGCCCAGGTTCAGCCAGGCAAGAGCCACAGGTCAAGGGAGGCTGCAAGAGGCTAAATCCTAATTCCACCACATGCACAAAAATGGATGGGATGGCCAAAAATGACCCCAAAAAATCAGGAAACAAATACGGAATGGGCTTTTTAATTGTTGTTTGCAATCAGAACTTTATGAAAATGACAGAATGTGGTTTCGCATTCTCTGTTGCATTAGAGCCAGTCTGAGCATCAGTATTTGCTCTAAAATGTGTTTAGTCAATAAAGTCAAGAGAACATGTGTGTGGAACACTGAGAAAAGAAGGCAGAGGAAGTTTGCATTCCTGCAGCCATAGAGGGGGATATTCTAGGGGTGGAGAGGCAGCAGGCAGGGGGAATGTGTGCACAGCCTGGCCGTTGTCCCATCCCCTCATCGCTGGCTTCAGGCCATCCTCCCATAGATGGAGCAGCTATAATGGGAGTGGAGGGTTGAGGGGCAGGGGAGGCATCTGCTGAGCGGCTGGATGGGGTTTGTGTAGTGGGTTAGGATGAGCTCCTCAGAAACCAGCCTGAGCTCTCTGGCTCAGGAGCTTCTCAGGAAGAGCTGAGAAGCGGCAACCCCTGCCTGAGGGGTCCTTGTGTTCATTTCCCATGGCCACAATAACAGAGGACCACAAACTGGTGACTGAAAACAACAGAATTGAATTCCTTCACAGTTCTGAAAGCAAAGTCCAAGATCGAGGAGTCGGCAGGGCCGCTCTTTCTCTGAAGGCTCTAGGAAAAAACTCTTTCTTGTCTCTTCCAGCTTTGGGGAACTCCAGGCATTCTTTGGCTTCTGGACACGTCTTTCTAACCTCTGTCTCCATCCTCATGAGGCCTTCCCCTCTGTTTGTCTCTGTGTCCTGTTCTCTTCTTATAAGAACACCAGTTATTGCATTTAGGGTCCACCCTAAATCCAGGATGATTTCACCTTGAGATCCTTAACTAATTGCACCTACACAGACCATATTTCCAGATAAGGTCATATTCTCAGGTTCTATGTAGACATGAATTTGAGGGGGGACACTAACCCACTATAGTCACAGTCTGTACAAATAAATTCTAGATTCTGCCCACCTGTGGCCTTACCTGTTCTACTTGGAAGTCATTGTTCCATGGAAGGTGACCCAGGGAAGCAGAATTGTTCTCCTCCTCAGGCAGATAGCTCCTGGGGACTGGCGTGAGAATTAGCAACTGTGCCAGCACATCACTTTGATTGGTCAAGGTGCCCCTTGCTGCCTCCCAGCCAAGCCAAGCAGGCCCACCCCAGGGAGCATAGGTGGGTAGCAGGTGCTGGCGCTCAGTTTACAAAGGAAGGCCTTCTGCCTCACCACCTCTGTGGACCTGCAAACCGCCCTAAGGGGTGAGTGGGAAGTCCCCATCTTACAGAAGACGAAATTGAAACCCAGACAGGCGGAGACTCTCCATGGAGGCCAGATGAATGAAGACTCAGGAGGCTCAGCTCAACCTTGGGTGTCACCTGCCACCTGTACTGCTGTCCCTGGAGTGGCCCAGGATACTAGGATATGACACTGTCTCCCAGATCATGAGCAGGTTGAGTCAGGTACGAGGGAAGAGGAGCCAGCAGATGACACTGTCTAAACCCATCTGGTCATCTCAGGAAGGCAGAAGGGTTGGCCAGTCCAGCACAGACCTCGTGCATCCTGCATTTCAGAGGATCCTGTCTGTGATGCTCCTCTTCACGGCATTGGAGCTCAGTGTCGCTATCCTTTCTTCTGTCCTCTTGTGAAAAAAGACCTGTTCAGATGTCCTCAGGGTGAACCTGCTGTGCCGTGGGCTCTGGGGCCTGGGTGGTGGCACAGGGCATGGTCCTGGGGCCAATGGCAGGTGGTACTAAGGTCGACCCATGAATCTTGACCTTAGTCGAAGTCGACAGGTTTTGTTGAGTGAGGCAGCAGCCGGCAGAACAGGATGACAGCAAGTGCCCAGGGTGGAGGAATCACAATAGGAAGCGATGGGACCAAAGAGAGCACATCACACATCTGCTCATTTAGCAAAGCAGGAAACAGGCTAAGGTGCAGAAGCCCTCTGGTCCCTGGAACCCTCAAGTTTTTATATTTGTGTATCCCTTGTCTTTTGTTTCAAGATATTTTTTAATTTCTCTGGTTTGATTTTTTGGAGATAAAAGGCCTTCCACTCAGCGTACAAGGCCTGTTCACTTGCTTTGTCCTCTCCAGAATGTGTTTCCTGACCCAAAGTGACACAGTGATCACCAGCATGCCCCAGGCAGCATTTGCTGACACCGTCCTGGAGATGAACAAGGAGTGCACCCTTAGTGTGGGGGCAGAGAGAGAGAGAGCACGTTGTCTGCAGGAGTCAGCTGAATGATCTCACAGACCCCACCTGCTGGGCTCTTCCATTTTATCACAATTATTCCGCCTGTTCACGTGCAGAGAGAACACTTGGGGCAGATTTTAAGACCTTAGAGAGTAATTTGTTTACAAATAAAATATCTCTTTGATGATGTATTTGGATTCCATGTCATTTTGCCACATTTCTCTTAATTTACTGGACACCAACAATGATATAAAAGTTAAGATTTTAGGAAATGTAGAAAATTTCTAAATAAAAATCAAAAAAGAAAATAAAACAACAAAATGAAGAGCTGCCTGGGAGAGATGAACCCATGGTCCCCGTCTTCACGCTAAGATGCAAAAGAGCAGAGCTTCCAGCTTCCAACTGGAGCTCCCACACAAAATACTGGGGAAATCTTCCTCCTTCCAACAATGGTCTTCCTATTGATCCTGAGACCTTGCTGGCAACCAGCCGTGTCTCTGCCCCTCTTTCTGTGCTCTCGTGACTCATCCCAGCTTCTCTCTCTGTGCCCCTTTCTTGTTCCCCTCTGCCCATTTCTCTTTTTATCTGAATCCCCAGATGCCCCTGCACAATCTGAGTGTGCAGAGTGGCCCAGCCCTCCCTAGGAAGGGAAAGCACTGGCCCCTTGCTTGGAGAGAAGGCAGAGACTGCTCTCCCACAAGACTGTAGTGCCCTAAAACCCCCTGATCAGCTCACACCTTGTTTCCTGGTGGCCAGGCCAATGATGAGGTTCACCACAGCCTACCTCAGCCAGGGACCTTATGACTTAATAGGGGAAGAGCCACAGAATATAGCCACATATATGGGCAGAAGTCCTGAGATATCCATGGGGCTGGATACTAAAGGGTCTCCATTTCCAAGTAGAACCTAAGGTTAGATGAGAGAGGTTTATTATCAATGCAGGAGGATCCTCACAGGATACAGGATTTAACAGCCTAACAGGGATTCCAGAAGATAGTTCAAATCAGATTCAAGGTAAGCTCCTGTAAGTATGGAAAAAGTGACAACTCCCCACGAAAGACAGAGGTGAGAAGGCTCAGAGAAGTGGATATGCTGGGGTGGATACACTCTGTAAATCCAGAAAAATCTACCTGCTGCCTATTTTTCAATTGTTCAATTTGCCTGTTAAATCATCTGGGCCTGGTCATGCTAAATTTTTTTAACTACCAATTTTGATTTACTTAATGATTGTAAATCTGGTTTATCCATTTCTTCTGTTTTTTAATTCACTCTGCATTGATATTTATACTACAACTCTCCAAACACTATTTCACAAATCAAGCTTCTATAGCAAAAGTAGGAAAACGTTTTAAGAAATTTTATTTTACCTTGTCAATGACCAAAAACACTCAAGACTGGCATCCTCACCCAATTTCTCTAGACTTTGTTTCTGGGATCATCAGCTATCACATGTTGTATTAGTCCGTTCTCACGCTGCTATAAGACAGCCTAAGACTGGGTAATTTATAAAGGAAAGAGGTTTAATTGACTCCCAGGTCTGCAGGGCTGGAGTGGCCCCAGAAAACTTACAATGCCAGCAGAAGGGGAAGCAAACACCTTCTTCTTTACATGGTGTCAGCAAGGAGAAGGGCAGAGTGAAAGGGGACAGGGGGAAGCCCCTTTTAAAAAACCATCAGATCTGATAACAATTCACTATCACAAGAACAGCATGGAGGCAACCTCCCCCATGGTTCAATTACTTCCCACCAGGTCCCTCCCACAACATGTGGGGATTATGGGAACAACAATTCAGGATGAGATTTGGGTGGGACACAGCCAAACCATATCACATGTCTTCAATTTCTGCCTCCTAAAAATGACATCTTTGCCAGGTGTGGTGGCGCACACCTGTAATCTCAGCAGTTTAGAAGGCTGAGGCAGGTGAATCACTTGAGGTCAGGAGTTTGAGACCAGCCTGACCAACATGGTGAAACCCCATCTCTACTAAAAACACAAAAAACTTAGCCTGGTATGGTGGTGTGCACCTGTAGTCCCAGCTACTCAGGAGGCTGAGGCAGGAGAATTGCTTGAACCCAGGAGGTAGAGGTTGCAGTGAGCTGATATCACATCACTGCACTCCAGCCTGGGTGACACAGCGAGACTCCATCTCAAAAAACAAAACAAAACAAAAAAATGACATGCTCAACCTTGGTCTTTCCTCAACTGTCAACTCTGAGTGCTAAGAACCTAAAAGATATCTCTGCTTTACTGCACAGCAAGGTCTTTGTTGTGAGTTGGGTTGTGTCCTCTCAAAATTTGTATATTGAAGTTCTAACCCCCAGTATCTCAGAATGTGACTTTCTTTGGAAATAGTGTCTTTATAGAATTAAAATGAGATCATTAGGGTGGGCCCTAAGAGGATATTAGGGCACGGACACTCACAGAGGGACAACTGTGTGAAGACACAGGGAGAAGACAGTTATCTACAAACCAACAAGAGAGGCCTCAGAAGAAATCAACACTGCGGACACCTTAATGTCAGAATTTTGGCCTCCAGGACTATGAGAAAATAAATTTTTCTTGTTGAAGCTTCCCAGTCTGTGATACTTCGCTATTGCAGCTCTAGCAGACTAATACACCCTTCAAATTCACCAGGGCCAAATTGAACCCACCATTCTCCTCTAAAAATTTCTTTTGCTTTCACCATTTTGTTTAAGGTCCTCACTCTTCCCATCACTCAAACTCTGAAAGTTCTTTTCCCATAGTGAAAAGGCCTAATGAAGGTGTTTCCCCATGGATTCTTTCCTTTTAGTTCTGTCTTGTGGACTGCAGCTGACTCAGCCCTGAGGGTGCCCTTGATGTCCCCGCTCAATTAGCATCTCTACCATTTCACCATTGCTTGCATGAGACAGTCGAAGGGTCATGAAAGCTTCTGTGATCTGGAAGACGTATTCTATAACAGTAGCGTTTCACAGCAGAAGCCAGACTTGCAACATTGCAAAGATCATGGGATTTGGAAGCAGAAAACCTGAGTTTCTATTTGGACTCTGCCACTTACCAAGTGTAGAACTTTTGGAAAAACCTTGGAAAGTCTTCCTATCTCCATTATGGATCAAGAGTGTGACCTTGGTTCACCCTCTCACCATTCTTTCCTTAATTTTTTTTTCTTATAAATAATAGCTTCCACCTTCCACCCTGCAGAGCAATTGTAAACTTCATAACACATGCGAAGCGCTTGACTCAAAAAACAGGAAGCACTAAGGACTGTTAATTTAACTGGCATCTCATTACTTTTATAAGAAAGCCTAGCATAAAGAAAAGGTGTGTCCACTGTTATGGGTTGAATTGTGCCCTCCCAAGAAAGATACATTGAAGCTCTACTCCCCAAACCTCAGAATGTGCCCTTATTTGGAAATAGCAGCATTGCAGATGTCATTAGTTAAGACAAAGTTATACTAGAGTAGAGCAGGCCCTAATCCAATACGGCAGGTGTCTTTACGAAAAGATAGCATGTGAAGACACAAACATACAAAGAGAAGGCAACCATGTGGTGACAAGAGGAGAGACTGGAGTGATGCTCCTGCAAGCCAAGATTGCTGGCAAACCACCAGAAGTTAGGAAGAGGCAAGGTAGGATTCCCTTACAGGTTTCAGAGGGAGGGTAGCCAGCTGACACTTTAGACTGCTAACCTCCAGAGTTATGAGACAATAAGTTCCTGTTGTTTGAAGCCGCCCAGTTTGTGGTACATTGTTACAGCAGCCCTAGGAAACTGATACATCTACACAATGCAATGTCCTTCAGCCATAAAAAGGAATGAAACACTGGCATTGGCTATCATGTGGATGAAATGTGAAAACAGCATGTTCAGTGAAAGAAGCCAGGCACAGAAGACCACATATTATATAATTCCATGTATGTAAAGTGTCCAGAATAGGTGAATCCATACAGACTAAACACAGATTAATGGTTGCCAGGGGCTGCAGGAGGGGAGAATAGGAACTGACGGCTAATGAGTATAAGCTTTCTCTTAAGGGTGATATAAGTGATCTGGAATTAGATAGCAATGATAGTTCCAAATCTTGTGAATATATTTAAAATTAAATTGTGTAACTTAAAATGGTGAATTTTATGTGGAATAATAGCAATAAAATTCAATAGAATAAAACAAAATGAACGACATGAAGCCCAACACCTCACTGGAACATGCAAAACCCTTCCTTTATTCTCTGGTGGATCCCATTTCTCGCCATTGTTCAGTGCTCTCTATGCCCCACCATGCTGTCCTACTCTCTTCATCCTCTGCCTTCTCCCATGCTGTCTGCCTACCTATAGTCCCTCTTTCCCCACGCCCTGTTTTGTTCCTGTGCTGCCCCTTTCTCACCCTGTACTCTTTCACTTTGAAGTCACTGCCCCAGAACCTTCTCTTTCACTCCACGATTGGGTTGTGTTGACCCACTTGCACATCATATGTTTCTGAGGGCAGAAATGTTGGCCCATAATTACAGTTGTCTGGTTATGTCTCTGTCTCCCTCACTAACATGCAAGCCCTACAGAAGCAGGAGCTGTGTCCAGCATGTTCACCAGGGTATCTTCCAAGTGTATCACATGATACTAGGTGCTCCGTAGACACCTGCTCAATGTCATATAGGTTCTTGGTCTTCTCTTCCAAATAAGGTAGAATAGTTATTTTTCATTTTACAGGTGAGAACATTCAAGTTGAAAGAAATGAAGAGAATATTTGATGTCCCGCAATACAGGGGAAAGCCGTTACTGCATCCCAGGAATGTTTGACCATAAAGCCCTTCCTTGCCCACTAGGCCAGGTATGTCCCATCATAGAGCCCCTCACCCCACTTGCAGGTTACCCTTCCAAAGTGCTGTTCCAAAAGAGCTCACGGAGACAAGGTGATATTGGAGAAGTGATAGACACATAGATCTATGGAAGACATTGGGAAGCTTGGGAATAAACCCACACAATTATAGCTAATTATTGACAAAGGAACAGCAGCAATTCAACAGAGAAAGGAAGGTCTTTTCAACAGTGTTAAAACAATTGGACAGTCTTTTTTTGTTTTTTGGTTTTTGGTTTTGTTTTTGTTTTTAAGACGGAGTCTTGCTCTGTCATCCAGGCTGGAGTGCAGTGGCAATCTCGGTTCACTGCAACCTCCGCCTCCTGGGTTCAAGCAATTCTCTGCCTCAGCGTCCCAAGTAGCTGGGATTACAGGCGCCTGCCACCAGGCCCGGCTAATTTTTTGGATTTTTAGTAGAGATGGGGTTTCACCATCTTGGCCAGTCTGGTCTTGAACTCCTGACCTCGTGATCCACCAGCCTCGGCCTCCCAAAGTGCTGGGATTACAGGCGTGAGCCACGGCACCCAGTCAACAATTGGACAGTCTTATCCAGAATAATGAATCTTGATCTAAACCTCCTAATTTACATGTAACAAATTGCATTAGTTACAATATTAACTCAAAATGGATCGTAGATCTAAGCATAAAATATAAAAATATATAATGCTTAGACTAAAACATAGGAGAAAAAATTTTTCCAATCTAGTTAGGCAAAGAGTTCATAGATGTGACACTGAAAGCAAAGTATAGCAAAAGGCAAAAATAAATTCAATAAGTTGTACTTCATCAAAATTATAACTTTTGTTCTGTAAAATACATTGTTAAGTGAATGAAAAGATGAGCTGTAGATTTGGAGAAAATATTTTAAAAAAGCACACGTCTGACAAGGACTCATATTCAGAACACTTAAGAATGCTCAAGCCAACCCAATTAAAACAATCAATCCAATTCAAAAACAAGAAAACAAAACCAGTTTCAGAAATGAGACAAAGACTCAGACACAAACTTCAGCAACGAGGGCACGCAGCAGGCAGAGCAGCCCAGACAAGGTACTCAATACTATGACTCACTAGGGGACTACAAATCAAAACCACAGTGAGATCCTGTTACACACCCATTAGAATGTCTAAAATAAAAACCACAGACACTAGTAGTGCCGGCGAGGATGTGGAGCAACAGGACTAACACATCGCTGCCAGGAAAGCAAAATGGCACAGCTGCACTGGAAAGCAATTTGTTTCTTGTAAGGTTACACATATACTTACCACGGGAACCAGCAATCTCAGCCCTGGTATTTCTCCTAAAGACATAAAAGCTTATGTCCACACAGACACCCGTACACAAACTGTTATAAAAGCTCCAGTCATAATAGGCAAAACCCAGAAGCAAACTAAATGTCCTTTAACAGGTGAACGTGTAAACAAACTATGGTGCATCCATACAATGGAGTACTGTTCAGCAAAAAAAAAAAAATACTACACTGTATACACACACAGGTACACACACATATATCTCCTAATGTTAGCAGAATTTTTTTAATGTGTAATACAGCATTGTTTACTATAGGTAGGATGTTATGCATCGAATCTCTAGAATTTAATCATCTTCCATACCCGAAATTTTACACAAGCTGAAAAGCAACTCCTCATGTCCCTCTTCTCACCTCCCAGTAACCCCCATTCTACATTCTGCTTCTATGGGTTTAACTATTTTAGGTACTTTATCTCAGTGGAATTATACAGTATATGTCTTTTCGTGACTGGCTTGTCTCACTTAGCACAGCGTCTTCCAGGTTCATCCATGTTGCAAATGGCAGGATTTCCTTCTTTTGCATGGCTGGATAATATTCCATTGTGAGGATAGCCTCCATTTCCTTTCATCTCTCAATGGACATGAGGTTGTTTCCACATGGCTGTGTGGGAGCAAGGGGGTTTCTTAGCCACTGGAGCGTCCCATTGGGATGGGGCACTGGTGGTGACCCCTAAGCAGGGATGTGCCCTAATGGACTTGCATCTGATAGGGTCTCCAGGCCACTATGGCCCCATGCCTGGGTGAGGTTAAGAGTTAAAGAGTAGAAAACAGGAGGCCAGTGAGGGGGCATTTTTGGGCCCATGGGAAGGTTTCTGAGGAGATGGAAGGGCTGCAGGTATAGGTTCCCAATATGTCCCCACCCCAGTTCAATTTCAATGACCAAGGGAGATAGCAGAGGTAAAGAAAACAGATAAGAGGGGGTCACCTGACACCTGGTGGACAGAAGCTGACATCCAAGAGGTGATTCCACCCACCTCCCTCCTGAGCTTCCTCCTTCCTCAGGTCCAGTTAAGCAGGGGACCTGGTCAGTGGTGCCTAGTCACCTGCCACTGTGTGACCTCAGACAGGAGATTTGTCCTGGGAGCCTCCTTCCCTCCATCTATAAAAGGGGAATGGACACAGCAGCCCAGAAGGCTTCGAGGAGGAGGAGGACGTGAGAAGGTGTGCTGAATCCTGCCCTGCTGAGCATGTAGGCCTAAAATTTTACACACAAACTGAGTCCCTATGAGGAAAGGGCAAGCCCTCTGCCCTCTGCCCTTCCTATGTCTGCATATCCAGAACTGCCTCAGGTGGAGAGGGCAGAGACTAGGGAGCACCCATAGATGCTCTGATGCTGGCCACAGCCCTTGGGGGTGACAGTGATGAGGACCTGGGTGCACATGTGGTGGAGCAGCCAAGACCAGCCAGAGAAGAGACACACTCATGCACACACGTGTTCACAACATACACATTCACACTCACACACAAACACATTGAATGCATGCGTGTTGACAGTTCAAGGAGTAGAGGACACTGGACCTGGGCCCTGCTGACCCAGGCAGGGCCCCACTCTGATGGGTGCTGTAACCCCAGACGTCACTGTTGCTGAACATCTGCCTGCCTCTGAGTTGTGGAGCAGCTGGAGACACACAGTGGTGTCTGTGAGTGTCTCTGTGTGCAGGACCCTTTTCTAAGTGAGAGGCACATCTCAGCACAGCTGACTGATCATTCTCGGGTAAGTGTGACCTGCTGTCTCCCCTTCCTGCTGACATGGGGGCAGATGCTACCAGATGGCATCACTGGCCTCCAGGGCGCTGTGGAGGGTAATGTCGCTGAGCTCCCACCAGGTGCTTTCTCTTCACTGACCATGTATTGCAGCCGTCTCATTCACCCTCACACTGACTTCGTGGAATGGGTGCTAATGTACCCATTTGAAGATGAGATGCCTGAGGTCAGAGGGGAGGCAACTGACCCAGGGACCCAGATGTGACTCTGGACTGTGATCTCAGCCCTGCCTTGTGCTGTCCTGCACTCAACTCCTGGCCTTTGCAGCCTTCCTGCCTTAGATACAAAATCTGCTGAGGATTCTGGACCCCAGTGGGGGTAGAACCTGGCTCTGGAAGAGCCACAGGAATGGGGGGCCCTGTGGGTGGGGTTAGAGGCATCCCTCAGTCCAAGTCTGTGCAAGAAAAAGTTCCCCAGAGGCAGGGATCTTATCCATTCAGACTTTAAGTGTGGGCTCTGATGGTTACTGTGGGACCCACCAGGCACTGGAGTTTTCCAGTTTGGGAGCAGAGCTGGGAGCCCTCTGGCCTCGAATAGTTGTGGAAAATGAAGAAACCCTGGAGGTCTGGCCGAAAGGTGACAGTCATTCCTCCTGTTCTCTGAGGCCTGGGGACAGGGGTTTAACCTGCAAGGCCCTCTCTCTGACCTGTCCTCCAGACGTATCACCTTCCCTTTGTCTCAGGTATTCCCAGGAGAGATGGCCCCTCTGGGTGTTCTCCAGAACCTGTCCCCAAGAGTTCACTTGTTCTTTGGTGACCTGGGAAAACAAAGCCTCTTCCTGTATCAACTGCTCAGGACTGTGGAATCTGCCCTCCCTCCACCAAAGGGAGGCTGCTTTGGAGACAATAGATCAAGCCTTCTCCGAATCAAACATCCTCCTTCTTGACTGGTGTTATTCTTCAAATGGATTCACTGGCCACAGTGAGTAAAGATTTGAGTGGAACAGAACACTCATGAGATTTCTTCTTTCCTATAGAAAACTGGGCATCTTCATGGTGTCTGAACAATAGCAGGAGGCTGATCATATAGAGATTTCTGGTTCCTGGCCCTAGTCTGCCTCCAGGTGTCCATTATAGTCATCATGGCCCTTCACCCTGAGCAGGTAGATGCCGTTCATCCTGCTGTGGAGTGTGTGCCCATTTCAGGACATTTAGGGACAACAAGTCTTGTTGTCTAGGTCTCCTTGTTTTAAAGTCCTCAGGAAAGGGCCCACCTCTGGTCAGGCCCAGGGACTCCAGAAATCCTGGCAGAGGTGGGGCCATTTGGCTTGGTCCCATTGTCCTGGGGGTGTTGGTGAAATGAAGTTCACCCGGCTGGCATCTGGGAGCAGATGTATGGGGTGTTCTCTAAAGCTCTCAGGTGCCATGTAATTTTGGGAGTATTTTGTCTTATAGGGTGGATATGGACAAAGACATGGATATCCTGCTCGCCCAGGAGTAAAGGGACATCATTGCCAAGTATAAGCAGACACAGGTCAGGCTGCTCCCTCCAGGGAGGCGGGTCTCACCTCTCCCTCTGTTCCCTGGTCTGATGGTCCTGGACTCCTTCGGGATGCAGGGCAAGGATGAGCTGCCCACACGCCCATACCCAACAACTTTTATTTTGGCCTCCCTCACCCTCTCTCCCTCTGCCTTGCAGGTTGCTGATCCAGGGCACCAGTGGACACAGGAGATGAAGATGTTTACATCTACAAGGTCATCAGTCAGCTTGAGATTCCACAGTGAGTCAGTCTTCTGTCCTCCCAACCAATTGCCAAGACCAGCTCGGTCGTGGAGACCCTAACCCAGTGGCGCTAGAGGAATTAAAGACACAGACACAGAAATAGAGTGTAGAGTGGGAATCAGGGGCTGATAGCCTTCAGAGCTGAGAGCCATGAATGGAGTTAGACCCACATATTAATTGACAGTAAGCCAGTGATAAGCATTGCTTCTATAGATTATATATTAGCTAAAAGCATTCCTTATGGGAAACAAAGCATTCTTAGCGAGGAGCAGAGAAACAGGCCCTGGCTGATATCTGCAGCAAAAGCATGTTGTTAAGGCAAAAAAGCATGTTGTTAAGGAATCCCCCTGCAGATGTGGAGTCAGGCATGGTCACTCCTGCTGGACGTTAAGAAGGTGAAGGCTGAAAACCCAAGTAAGTACCAGGTATGGTCCTTCCACACTCAGCCACAGCGGAAGAAACAGGCCAGGCCATGTCAGGAGCCCAGGTCTCTAGCTAGAGGAAAAGTCAAGCCTGAGTGATGGTCAGTCCCATATCCTAGGCACAGACGATGGCATGGGAACCACAAGTGAACTGGGCTCTGGTGACCCTCAGTGGCTTTGGAAATAAGATAGAGAAGGATATTTCTGCAAAAAAAAAAAAAAAAAATCGTCTTTCCTTCCAGAAGTGCTGAATGATTGCTGTTTGTGGTAGTGAGCCTTTTGTCTGTTATAAGGCTGGTTCCTTCCTGAGGAACCAGCCCTTTAGCCCTGCCCTAAAGAAAATAAAGGAGCAGGGCTCCTATACAGGGCTCTCACTGTAAAGCAACTGAGGGAGAGTGAGCCCCAGGGAAGGACCAGCCCCATCCTCATCCACCACAGGTTATCAGTCCAGGTGGCCACTTAGGGAAGGGAAGAGGGTCTTTCTATGGGCTCACACTCAGGAGGGCCTAGGATTTGGGAGCAGAGGGAGCAGAAAATAAAGCAGCAGGGCAAGATGTCCTCAGCGAAAATAAACCAGATTGACCTGGACATGAAGTGCACCTTCAGACACCATGTCATGTTTTGGGAGCACTACAGAGTCAGGTAAGGCCTATGGGGGATGGAGGGTCCCAGGGGAGACGGAGGAATTCAGAGGAATAGGGGCATCCCATGCAGGAGTCCAAGATAGGACGTGACAGAGCCCCCCAAGGGCTCTCTTGGCCAGGGAGCAGCCAGCATCACAGAGCATCTACTGAGCTCCAAACCATGGGCCGAGCTGGGGCATGTGGGTCCAGAACCCAAGTGGCTACTGAGGAAACAAGCGGTAGCAAACACAATCATGCTGCATGGTGAAAAGTTCTCTCTATGACCCACAAGTACCTGAGGTAGAGACCCACAAGAGGGGCTCAGACTTCACAGGCAACACTGACAACACCAAACACCATAGAGGATGTGGAGCCACAAGAACTCTGTGCATTGCTGCTGCAAAATGCTGCTGCTGCTGAATGCAAAATGGTACAGCCGCCTTGGAAGACAGTTGGGAATTGCTCACAAAGCTAAATGTACTTGTACCACGTGACCACAAGTGTCATAGACGTTGACCTAGCTGACTTGAAAATGTATGTACACCTAAAACCTACATGTCACATTCACTGCCTTATTCATTATCACTAAAACCTAGAAGCTACTGAGATGACCTTCAACACAGGTCCCAGGGGAGATGGAGGAATTCAGGGGAATGGGCGCATCCCATGAAATGAGGTTATACCTGTTTGGTATAATAAAATTACAGGTTAAATCTATAAATATAAATTATAATTATAGATTATTAGGTTACATTTATTTGGTATAATAAAATTATACAGTAGGTATTGTCAAATATGAAATTAATATCTAATGATTGTATTATACCAAATAAGGCAAATATGTGTCTTTTGGACTTAAGGGGACCTAATATCAAAAAAATTAATGAGTCAAAAGGACTGAATTTAGAATTTAATTTTGAAAAAATCAAATATCAAAACTTTAAAACACCTGCTATCACAAAATAGGATCATTGGTCATTGGTCATTGTAAAATAAGTCATTCATTTAACCAAAGTGATAACTCAAAGATTTCAAAAAAAAAAAAGTCAAAAGACAAAACCATTACTCTTTGAGAGAGGAGACTTAATTTTCCAAACAATAAGCCCTAATAAAGATAGCATGAGGCCAATGAAATCTGTTTCTCAAATCTTATAAACAAATCTATTAAATTTTAATGATCTTCACCATACTATATAATTTCCAAAAACCTTTTTGTAACATTTTATAATTTTTTAAATGAAAAAGTGGGTTAATACTCCAAGAAAACCTTGTTAATCTGACACAGGAGCTCAGAGGTTAGTCTTGCATCAGTGAGCCTTTGATACTAATCTTTACAGAGAAACTGTAACCAAGATAAAACCAATTTTATCTTTCAAAATAGGCTCTTACAATCGCATGTACCCACATCTTCCACAATAGCCCCTGGACTTTGAGGGGTAAGATAGTTTCAATTTCTGGCCCTGTGTTTCATGAGTGCAGTTTCTTTTGATTATCATCTTCTCCTGGTTCTGAAGATACGGTTTTAGAAGCTTTCAGTGTTTAAGATTTAGCAGGACTTGGTGTCCTTTTTAGATACAGGAGTCAAAGCCCTGTAACTCAACAGAACAAGGACTTTAAAAGCAATACAGAACATTGTATGGATGTTAATAACTTTAATTTTTTAAATCTCAGTTTTCCTAGGCAAATAAAAAACTTAATGACATAGGAATTGTTTCAATAAAATATAAAATCTGTTTGTTAGGCCAGTTACCAAAAGGCAAAAAATAAATAAAAGACCTGCAGCAATTGCTTTTCCCTAGACTTCAAGTCAAAACTAATGAAAATGGTACTTGAATTAGTTAGATATAGGAAGGGTGTGTCTTGCATCATAAGTGAAAATTTTCAGTTTCATAGAAAAACTTCAAACCAAGAGCACAGAATGTTATATTGGAAGAAAATATTTCCTTTAGACCTTTAAGATAAAACACTTTTAGCATCATGTCACAGTAGCAGTTAGAACCTGAGGAAAAAAAATTATAGAAACTGACAAGAAAGTTGGAGAGAGCGATTATCTCAGGACTTATGAAGGGGAGAGAAAGGTGAAAACAGTGAGATTCAATAAAAGTTGAAATCTGGGGTAAAAAAATTAAAATATCTTGTAATTTGTTAAGAGTAAATTAATATCTTAAGAAAATTTTGTTCTTCTAGCCCATTCTTGAGTGGATTAGCATATTTTTAATATACACTAAGTGCAAAAGCACAGTCTCTAGAAAGACTAATTTCCTTTTAATTATAGCCAACTTGATCAAATAAATTCTTTTCTCATAAAGTCTCTTTTTACAAACCTTACTATGACTTACACAAGCCACTTATGACATGCCTAGACTTCCTGTTTTATCCTAAACAGCTTCTTTCCTAAATAACCAATCATTTTATCTTCTTTTTCTTTTTTTTAAGATTTCTTTGTTGTTGCTGCTGTTGTTGCTGCTGTTGTTTCCTTGAGACAAGGTCTCTCTCTCTGTGTCACCCAGGCTGGGGTGTAGTGGCATGATCACAGCTCACTGCAGCCTTGACCCACCCAGGCTCAAGCAATCCTCCCATTTCAACCTCCCAGGTAGCTGGGACTATAGATGTGCACCAGCATACTCAGTTAATTTTCTGTGTTTTTTGTATAGACAGGGTTTTACCATGTTGCCCAGGCTGGTCTGGAACTCCCAGGCTCAAGCAATCTGCTCACCTCAGCCTTACAAAGTGCTAGGATTACATGCATGAGCTATTTGCATCCAGCCATTTTATTTTAGAACAAACATTTACCATGCAAGATTTTTTTCTCATATAAAATTTTCCTTTTAACCTTTCTTACCAAAAATATCTCTTTATATTTTTAACTGTCTTTATATCGCTCTTATTTAGTGGTTCCTTTTATCTTGTTTCATAACCTTTAAATAACCTTTGAATTCAACAAAAATTATTTTCCTTTAAATAAGAACATATTCTTAGCAAAATGTTTTTCTGTAATTTTTTTAATTGTGAATGACCCAGACATTTAATAAATGCCTGTTATGTAATATAACTTTAGATTCTAAATTATATTATGCTTATTTACAAGCATTCCTTCCATTACATTTACCTAACTTATTTTTAATAGTTTACCTAGATTACTTATGAAAACTGTGATAATCAACATTTAAAGGTATTTTCCTGTTAATCATTTATATAGCCTGTGAATTTCAGGTGTTTACCTAAGTAAGAAGCTTAAGGTTAAACAAATGAGTTTTTCGCCAATAACTCAGGATAAATGACTTATTTATCAAAAAAAATTACACAAGGATAATTATCTTTTGAGTTACATTTATAATTTTATAACCGTCATGCCAAATTTTGACACCTTATGTATATTAGCATTTAATCAAGCTGACTTTTAACCACTGAGCTTTAAAAATCCTTTAAAATCTCATTGCTGTAACCGAGTACACCCATTTTCCTGAGACATCAATTATTATTTTTTTTCTTTCCTTTTCTTGTTCCTTCAGTTCCCCACTCCCTACTTAGGCTTTTAGGAATGCAAATATAGCCTTTTACCTCCCCATTACCGGACTCTCCCTACAGTGCAAGTTCATCTAACTACACGCTCAAACTGGAAAGTCAACTTGAGAATTAACAGTTGATTTATAAACCAATCATGCCCACTGTGGAACTCTCACTCTTTAGGAGGTTGTCTCAAGAGATAACAGCCTGCCCATGAAGGTGCCAGCAGTCACAAGCTGATTGCCCCGTAGATAAGGCACAAGAGCTAGCATGGACCCCCCGCCACCACCCTTGCTCACTTCCTCCCCTGCTTTTTAAAAGTGAAGCCATATGGAGGACACCTGCATTTCTTCCCCTAAGCTAGTTTTGGAAATAAATTACTTTCTTTATACCAGACTTCACTTTTGTTAATTGGACTCTGCAAGCAACAAGCGACTAACCTGCATTTTGGTTACATTACCATGTTTTAGGTGGGACAAACTTCTAATATTTCAAATGTAACACAAATATCAAACCAGTAAAGACTTTATTTAGGAACCAAACCCAGGCTGCCATGGTGGAAAAAGGGCAGAACCTTAGCTACTGAACTACAGCATGGGGCAACCACTATTGCTATTTCAGTTTGGCTTGGCTAGCAAAGGGTTGTTTTGTTATGTAAATAAAGCCCTTCAGGTAATTGAAATCTTTCTTGCTTCGATGGCTGATTTTTCTTTTTTTTCTCTTTGTTTTTCCAGCTTCAGGAATTTAGCCAGTTCAGAGGTCTTGTTCCCCATAATTTAGAACTTTCCTTCAGGTTTGACCAAGTCAACTAGAGTGGTCAAACCCAATGGAAAAAAGACTAAAACAACAAAAACAGAACCAAACAAATAAACAACAACAAAAAAGTAAAGCAAAACAAATGATTGCACAATTTATAAGATTACTGAGCACTCTAATGGTAAGGAGGAATCAAGACCAGCTGGTAGTTAATCTTAACTTTCAGAGAATTTCCAAGACAAACCCCATTTCAGCTACTTATGTAGGAATAAGGCCCAGGTTGAAGATTGCTCTCTATCATCCTAGAAGCAGGAAAAAAACTCAAAACTCATCTTCCCTGTTGGAAGCAAGCTGAAACTCTGGAAAGGAGTTGCCTGCTTTCCATTATCATGGATTCAGAAAAACTCATCTTTTTGGATGCAAGTAAAACTCTAGAAAAGGAGTTGAACAGCAAAATAAACCTTAGATCTCAACAACATTTTGAGAAATCAGGGATTCTCTGGAGATGATACCTCCCAGGCCTCAGCAAATCGTCCTGTTGGTTTTGTTACTGGCAGCAAATCCATATGGGTCTGCAGCAATCTCAATTCTTGCCTTCTCAGAAGAAAGAATTCGACTGAGGGGCATACGGCAGAGTGAAAGATTGAGGCAAGTTTTAGAGCCAAGAGTGAAAATTTATTAAAAAGCTTTAGAGCAGAAACTGAAGAAAGTAAAGTCCACTTGAAAGAGGGCCGAGTGGGTGACTTGAGAGATCAAGTTCATGGTTTGATCTTTGACTTGGGGTTTCATACATTGGCATGCCTCTTGGGGCGGGGGAGTGGTTTGCATCTCTTCTCCCTTGATTTTTCCCTTGGGGTGGGCTGTCCACGTGCACAGTGGCCTGCCAGCACTTGGAAGGGGCAACATACACAATGTGTTTACCAAAATTGTACACATGCTCACTTAAGGCATTCTTCCCTTACCAGCCGAGTGTTCCTGGAGAAAGGTTATATACTGGTTCAACTCTGCCATTTTGCCTGTTAGTGCACATGCTTAAGTCCACTAGCCCACCTCCTGAGATCTTATTGGGAAGCTGCTGATTACCAACTTGAGGTGTTTCTATTGGGAGGCTGCCTTTCCCTGGCACCGGCTGCAGCCAATTATTATTTTCAAGAGGCAGTTTAACAACCTCCTGACCACCATCTGATGGTTGCCTGACATTCCTGGGCGAGGGTCCCTCTCCTGACCTATTCATGTCTGACTAATTACCTATTGTAACAGTTTGAACAATAAAGATAGCTCAAGGCCAGACATGGTGGTTCATGCCTGTAATCCCCGCTCTTTGGGAGGCCTTGCAAGGCCAGAGGATTTCTTGAGCCCAGGAGTTCAAGACCAGCCTGGGCAACAAGGCAAAACCCTGTCTCTATGAAAATTACAAAAATTAGCCCGGTGTGGTGGCACAAGCCTGTAGTCCCAGCTACTCAGGAGGCTGAGGTGGAAGGATCACCTGAGCCCGGGAGGTGGAGGCTACAGTGAGCAGGGATCGTGCCACTGCACTTCAACCTGGGTGACAGAGTGAAACACTGTCTCAAAATTAAAACAGATAAAATAAAAATATAGCTCATACTGGTACCATGCACAAGTAGATTTGTCAAAGGTCAGGGCCACCTTCACTCAGAGTCTCTTCCGTTGGTTGCCAACTTGTAAACGAAAAAGTATGTCAGATAGGTCTCAATCAGTTTAGAATTTTCATTTTGCCAAGGTTAAGGACGCACCCAGGAAACAGGTATATGTACCTTTCTCAAAGATGATTGTGAGGGCTTCAATATTTAAAGGTGAGAAGTGTGCTAGATGGGAAAGAGGGTGTGGTTATCCACATGTTGCAAGAGAAAAGGAGTAGGCAGGAAAACAGTCAATTATGGATTCATCTCACACTCAGTAATAGGCCCTTTACATAAGGTGAACATAAGACTAGCTACTTGAGGAGCTATTTAACCTTCTATCTGTAGCTATCTGCTGAGGAACAAAAGGAAAGACAGTTTTTTGCATGACTCAGCTTTCAGCTTAATTTTTTCCATTTGGCATAGTGAATTGGAGTCCTGAGTTTTATTTTCCTTTCCCACCTCAAACCCCACAAGCTTTGCGTTGTTGCAGATTGTCCCTCTCAGAATATTTTACAAGATGGTGAAGTGCCTAATGAACATTTCTTTTGTCATAAAGTGAGTTTGGATCCTGAAGAAGCCATCATCTTAATCAGGCTTTGGGATCAAAGTTCCCCTTCACCCGAACCCTGAACAGCACAGCAGACAGGGAAGGACTTACTGAGATGGCTGCTCCCACTCTCCAGCCCCCACTTTCCTGACCATTCCTGGCAGGAAGAGCTGCTGAGCAGACTCCATGGGCTGCCCACACAGGGTCTGGACCTAGCTGTCTTCCTGTGCCCAGCAGCCTGTGAGCCATCCCAGTCCCCTATGTGCAGTGGTCAGCACCCACAAGCCAGCCTTCATAGGGATTCAGTTCATGGGTGTTGCCCTGAGCCTGGCACAGTGGCCTCCCCAGCTTAGCATCTGCAGTTCGGGTCAGGGTGTTCTTAACGGCCCTCACCTATGCCTTTTCTGGCCACACATGAGTTTGGATGAAGCAGGAGTCTCTTCCATAGCTCCTTTTCATCTGAGATGTCCATGACTGGCTCAAGTGAACCACAGTGTCAGGAGAGGGGCACGGAAGCTGCACCCTAAATTCCCCGGGACCTGTGGCAGGCCTTCCTGGTGACCTCTGCCTTCTCAGGTGACTTCTGCCCTCCTGGGTGACATTAGTTCTCCCCTCTCAAGTGATCTGTGCCCTCCTAGGTTACCTCAGCTCTCCCAGGTGACCTCTGCCTTTCCAGATGACTTCAGTCTTTTCAGGTGACCTCAGCCCTCCTAAGTGACATTAGTCCTCCCTGGTTATCTCTGCCCTCCCTGGTGAACTCAGGTCTTCCAGGGGACCTCTGCTTTCCCAGATGATCTCTGCCTTCTCAGGTGACATTAGTTCTCCTAGGGGATATTAACTCTCCCAAGTGACCTCTTCCCTTCCAAGTGACCTGTTTCCTCAGGTGACCTCAGCTCTGCCAGGGGACTTCTGCCTTTCCAGGTAACCTCTGCCCTCTTGGTGACATAGTGTGCTCAGGTGACATTAGCCCTCTCAGGTGACCTCAACCCTCCAAGGTGACGTCAGCCTTGGTGAAGTCTTTCCATGATGACTTTGGCTTTTGCCAGAGGTAGGCTACTGCGGGGGCATAAGCCATATCATGCCATGAGCCACTATCCTGCTCATGTTCCAGAATGAGGAGACATCTGGGTGCTGGCCCAGCTGCTGGCCAATGAGAGGCTTGCCAAGCATGGTACTCTCCAAGGTGACCTCTGCCCTCTCAGGTGACACAGTCCTCCCATGTGACATTAGCTCACAGTGGACAGCTACCCACGAGGCATCACACAGCCAGGACAGGGGACGGCCACACTGGCTGGGTAATTGTGACTTACAGACAAGGCACCTTCTGTCCCCTGCTCATTTTGAGCCTCCAGGGTATCCCCTGCTGAGAGTCCCACAGGAGCCTGTGACTGGCCAGGGACCCGACACCCCAAGTCAGATGCCTCTTGTCCCCATCAGCAAATGGGATCACAGCTGCCCTGTGACCACCTTCTGCATCCTGGTGTCACAACCTTCTGGCCCTGACCTTATGCAGGGGACTCTTACAACCCTGCTGGTCCTTCCACCTCCCAGCTGGCCACCCTCCCAACCACCCTCCCTGCCCATGGCTAGACCAAGCCCAGATGACAGCTTCTGTCTGTCCTGTGTCCCCTGCCCTGACCCCACATCCAGGAGAAGGCCACACACCCTCCAGCACCCCTGGTCACCCCACCAGCTCCCACCTGTCCTCACTGCTTCAAAGGCAGGCCTGCCCTTCTGGAGCCATGGCCCTGGAAGCCACTAAGCAGTGCCTCCAGCCAGGCCCCAGGGGCATTCCCACCCCTCCTCTCCTGGCCGAGACCACATGATGGGGTCACTGGATGGGACAGTGAAAGGCCTTGGGGTCTGGAAGCAACCACCACTGCCCAACTGCCACTGCCCAACCGCTGCTGCCCAACTGCCACTGCCCAACTGCCACTGCCCAGCCTGATGGCTCCACATCTCAGGAGTAGGCTCTGATTCCTTGGGGCCCCAGGAGCCTCTCAGGAGTCTACATCCCAAGATGTTCTAACTTCCAGAGTCTCCAAGCCCATCAAGAGCAAGTTTTGCTAAAAGTGTTCTGAGAGCTTATGAAGCACATGGTGAGTGGTCAGTCCCTCAGCTCTTCCCCAGAGGCCCTGGGTCCCATGGGGTTAGCAGGGACAGGGGAAGCCTGGGGCTGGTGAGAGGCCAACTTCCAGCCAGGGCTTGATCTGGTTTTCAATGGATTCAAAGTTTGGCCTCCTTTTCCTTACCTGGAGGGGACAGAGGCACTGGGACCAGGCCAAGCTCTGGCTGAGCCAGGGCTAGGGGAAGTACATCCACTGGGGGCCCATGCCATGGGGAGGTGTTGGGGCACAGCCACCACTGTTCTACCTCTTGGGGAAGGGTCTGCAGTGGGGTCTGGAATACAGAGGTTTTCACGGAAGCCCAGGGGACCCTGAACACTTCTATTCCTTCTATCAGGACAAGGAAGGGTTGTGCATCCGGCTTTCCACCTTAAACTGGTTTCTATGGTGCTTCATCGATGAGATAAGGATGCATAGGAGACCCCAGGCCAGGTACCTCCTTTCCCCACAGTGCTCAGCTCCCCCAGCCCAGGGGTCTGGCTTCCCCAGGAGGACCCAGCTCACCCCCACCCCACAGGAGGCACAGGCAGGTCTCTGCAGGGCACACAAGCCAGGACCTGTATGATGGGAGCTTTACACACCAGACACCAGGGAATTCTGGGCAGACTGGGCCAAGACCCATCTTGGAAGAGCCAAAGGAGCCAGGGAAGCCACAAGCCCTCAGGAAGCCCCTTATTCTGGGAACCACATTTCTGCTGAGATGAGTCCATCCCCATGAAGAGCTGCCGGACCTTGTCTGACCCAGCCTTATGGAAGATTGGGTGGGTCTCTTCCCAAGCAGAGGGAGCCTCAGGAAGTCCAGACTGAGGCTACAGTGGGCCCTGCTCAAGCCACCAGCCCCGAGGTTGGAAAGGCCAGGTCCTCCCACACCTGCTGTTCCCACAGACTTCCTTCATGCTCATCCTGTGGCTCTGGGATGTCTACCTACTGGGAGGTGAGTGTGTGGTGACAACTATGGTATACATGGCCTTCACAGCCACAGAATTAAGTCCCTGGGTGGCCAATGGTGCCCAGAAGGAGCATGCAGGACAGACCCTGGGACCTATAGCCAGGACAGATTCCTGGCTTCTGGTGTGTGATGACCTGAGAGCAGCATCCACACTGTCCAGATGGCTCTCTGCTCCAGCCTGGAGGTAGGGCCAGACCAGGCCTGGTGGGCTGGGCAGGGAGTGGACCCAGGTACCAAACCCACTCCTGACACAACCCAGATGAAAGGCAAGAGTGTGTTGAGCACTTCCCTGCCCAGGCCTTCCTCCAGCTGTGGTTTTCTGTGAACATCTGGACCCCTGGGGCAGCCACAGTAGGATCCAGCACCGCCCAGTGGTGGGTGCCTGGGGCAGGAACAAGGTGCAGACACTGACTCTCCCACAGACCCCTCCCAGCCTCATAGTCACCCTGTCCCTAGAACACCCCCTGAAGCTGTTCCTGTTTGGCTTGCAGGAGTTCCTTCAGGACACACTGTCCTAGGCCTGGGCCCTGGAGGAGGACATGGTGATGAGGCACCCTGAGGCCTCCATGG
Organism: Homo sapiens; assembly: GCF_000001405.40. NCBI lineage: Eukaryota > Metazoa > Chordata > Mammalia > Primates > Hominidae > Homo > Homo sapiens. Next base: position 840,147 of record NT_167249.2, read on the forward strand.
GGGAACTGAGAAGCATGCACTGTGACCTGCACACCCAGGTGGGCTTCAGCACCAAGTCTCCTCCTGTGTCACCCTGCGGGGCAGTAAATAGTGGGAAGTGCCCAGACCTCACCAGCCCTGCTCCCTGGGCCTTCCTCCAGCCCCTCCTCTCCCTCCTCCTCTAAGAAGCTTCTGAAACCAGGCTGCCTGAGCCTAGGGCAAAAGCTGACCTTGGGTTTACTGGACATGCCTCAGAGACAATGAGACGTGAGCAAGACTCTTCCAAGCCCCTCCCCTGTACCCTCCTGCTCTCACTCCTGAAAGCCCCAGAAGGACACTGGAGGGGTCAGATCCATCTGTGCAAGCCCACAACCACACCTGTGAGTACCAGCAGCCCTGGAGAGCAGCAGGGGGCCTTCACTCCTGAGCACCCCTCCAAGGGCCTAAAATCAGTGTCAGAGACCCTAAGAGAATCTAGGGAGAGGGCATAGGTGAAACCCTGGCCCAGAGCCAGAATTGATTGCTCAGCTGAGTGTGGGAACAGTCCAGCCCTGGCATGGAGATCCCCCAGAGGAGTGGAGGGTGTCTCATCCACTGTGGAGATAAGCCCCCATATTGCGTGGCAAAGGGGCTAGGTAACAGTTAAGGCCTCATCCATCTGAGCTCTGAATCAAGGCTAAAGCCCAGGCTAAGCAGCCCTGGGGCAAGAGTGTGAGGCAGGAAGACTGAGTCAGCCTGAACCCTGGGGGCTGTCCCTGGAGTGACTTGAGCTTCCCTGACAGCTTCCCCACTCTAGGCTGCACACACACCTCGCTCTGGGAGTAGCAGCCTGCAGGAGTGTCCTCAGCATTAGACCAGGGGGACCACACGGGGACCCTGAGGACTGCAGGGACCCAGGTCTGTGGGGTCCAGCCTGGCAAAAGCAAGATGTTCTCAATGGAAAAGCTGACCAAATCTGCTTTCCTTTCAGCCAAACCTGAGCAAGCACCCCCACCACCCAGGCCTCTGCAGATATCCCCCAGCATTGAGACCCTCCCCAAGGGGATGGGCTGCTTCTCCCTGGCCCACAGCCCAGCTCCAGCAGCCCATGGGTATAGCCCTCCTGAAACAGGAGCCTCATCCTCCCTCACCCTCACCTGGCTATGCTGTACCCAAGGCCAAAGCCCAGAGGCATAAGGGAGCTTCTGCAGAGCCCAGGACAGCAGGCTGCTCTCTGGGGGCCCTGGGGACTCAGAGTGTGGCCAGCCCATCCCCAGCTCAGGATAGACCACAGAGTGCTTGGTGATTCCTGCATTGGAACTCCCTCTCTAAGCTCCCCATGGACCTGGACCTCAGAGGCCTGTGGTTTTCACAGTAGAGCTTGGAGCAGAGATGCTAGGCCCCTATCACTTCCATATGTGTCCTGGACACCTCTAAGATCATAGGACTGGCCTAGCCCCCAATACCAGACACTGCCCAGTCCCCTGATAGCCCAGAGGTAGGGCCAGAGACAACTCTCCTGCATGTGATGCCTACAGCTGATCACTCTTGGCAGACAGTGAACATCACGGCCCAGAAGGAGCCAGGGCAGCACTTGGCAAGCTGCCCCAAAGCCCCAGAGAGCTCCTTAGACATGGAAAGTCAATACTGATGGGGAAGCTGGACACTTGGAGGCCACTGGAGGGAGGGGTGAGCATGGTGTCCCCACAGCCCAGGCCACCCAGCAGCATGCCCTGCATCCATGGTCCCAACCTGTAGGGCAGAACCCCCCTCTCAACGCACAATTCCTAGACCCAGAGGGCCCTAGCCCAGACTCAACCTGAGCCCTGAAAGGGAAGGGGCACCAGGGGTGCCTTGGGGCCTCCAGCAGCAGCCAAGATACACAGGAGATGGAGCCCCCTGTGGCCCTGGCCAGAACTAGTATTTGGCTTAAGGCGGAGCAAGCCCCCTTGGAGCACTGCGTACATACCCGGGGCCTATGTGTGCCTGGCAAGGCCAAGCTGATGATGTTACCAAGCTCAAACTACCACTGGCCACCTTGGTGAGGGTGGGGCAGAAACACGTGGACCAGCCACCAACCTCATCCATTCAAGGAAGCAGAAATGGTCAGGCTCCTGCAGGATAAGTGGCCACCACCAGACCACCAATGGGGCAGAGTTCTGAGGCCCAAGCAGATGGCACTGGGGCCCTGCTTCCAGGGTCCACAATCTGCTCCAGGACACAAGACTGAAGAAAACTAAGCAAATGAGAGTCCAGGAGGCTGGATCCCTCATCTGCCATTCTTGGCAGTTGCATTTTGTGGTCAGAAAAAGTCAGGAAACTTGGCTCTACTCACTGCAGGAGGCTCCAAGGTGGGACCAGAGCTTCCAGCATAGATTCAACAATGCCTAAGAATGCCTCTTCTTGGGGAAAAGGACCCCTTCCTTGGCCTCAAAGCCCCCACTTATTTTGATTAAAGCACAATAAAGTCTTTGTTGTTATGTCCTGCCTGTTTTTGAGTTGCCCAGAGCTCTCTGCAGGAAGCCCTGGACATACTGGGGTGGATGGGAAATGAAGATGGCACAGCCCAGACCCTGACCAGCCTCTCACAGCCTCCCCATCCCAAAGGCCGCAGCAGGGCCAAGCACCAGAAAGGCCAAGGTTCCCACCCAACTGTGAGCCACACTGCACTGCAGCCTCCCACTCTCAGGCAGATGCCAGGGTTAAGACCCTCCAGTAATTTCCTGTAATTCAAACTGCACCTGATAGGGACCCCCAGAGGGCTGGGAAGGGAGCAAAAGTTGGAGTTCCAGTGACATTGCTCATTCATGACAGTCTGTACAAAGCATCCCTGAGAGGGTCTGCTGTCACCTGTGTCTACTGTCCCTGGGTGGCTGGTCTCCGGCAGCCCTCCCTTCCTTTCTTCCCTCCTTCCCTCCCCACATCCCTCCCTCCCTCTCTTCCTTCTTCTCTTGCTTCCCTCATCCTTTCCATCTCATCTCCTCTCAGCATCTGGCAATCCCAGGTCCTGAGCCTGTGCCAAGGCGGGACACAAAGGACACCACTGACAACAAGCCAGGTGACTAGCGGGGTCGGGGAGCCTTGTGGAATCAGAGTGGATGGGGAGGGGCTCATCTGTGCAGCCCAGGACTGCTGCCCCGGGAACAGTCTAGAACAGTGCAGAAGTGTGTGTCCCTGTGTGTGCACATGTGCACGTGTATGTGTATGTGTGTGCGTGCCTGTGCACACCTGTTTACTCAGTTCTGCTCTAAGTCCATGTCCACGACCCCAGAAGATCCCAGGTATGTCCTCACTGACGTCTGCTGAAATCAAGCATGGCCCCTGCTGGTAGTTATTGCACTGTGTAATGCCATCGTCGGGACCTCAGAGCAATAGAAACCAGTGGACCCCTTTAGGCTTTTCTTTCCAATGGGACATAAAGAAGTTATATGGACAGAAGTTATATCCTGTTTTCTTTCCATTGATTCTTTTACCACCTTTCTCCTCTTACTGATTTTGAATGAAGGGGGTTTTTCATGAGGGTAAGGTAACTGGCAAGAAATGAAATAACAGCCAGATGCAGTGGCTCACGCCTGTAATCCCAAGATTTTCGGAGGCCAAGGAGGGTGGGTTGCCTGAGTCCAGAAGTTCAAGACCAGCCTAGACAACATGGTGAAAGCCCATTTCTACCAAAACAAAAAAATTAGCCAGGTGTGGTGGCACGCGCCTGTAGTTCCAGCTACTGGTGGGGCTGAGGTGGGAGAATGGCTTAAGCCTGGAAGTCAGAGAGTGGAGATTGCAGTGAGCTGAGATCACGCCATTGCACTGCAGCCTGGGCAGCAGAGCAAGAACCTGTCTCAAAAAAAGAAAAAAAGAAAAGGAAAGAAATGAGATACCGAGAAACTAGCAAAGCTTCACCTGGCTGTCTGGAGACAGCCCTTGTGTGGTCCCCAGCCCACCTCACAGGTTCTAGGCTGGCCACCCTGTGGCCTCTGTACTGTGTATCTGGACCCAGGCTCTGTGGGAAGGGTACCTGGTCTGACAAACATTCCTCCATTTTTCTGGCTGCAGCTTGGAATAGGCCCAGACAGCATGTCCAGGAGATGCCAGACAACCTCACTATATCCTGTGAGACAGGCCCAGTGGGCCTTGAAGGAAGGGGTGAGCATGAAGCTGGGCACCCAGAGCCTGAGACCAACTGTCCCTCCCTGTGCCCTGGAGGAGGGGCCTGGCCTGTCAGTGTAGATGTGGGGAGAGAAGGGTCTGTGGACCCAGGAAGGGACATTGGTAGGGGACTTTGAGCACCACTGCTCAGGGGACATGAATGACAGGGTGGGAGGCATCTCCCATTTCTGCCCTGAGCACAGCACCCCTTTGACTCCTGAGGGCCACGAGGAGTCCACTCCCCAGAGCTTTTTGTAGAACCTGCATATGAGTCCATCAGAGGTGAGATTTGCAAATACTTCCTCCAGCCTGGGACTTGTCTTTTCATTCTCCTCACAGGGTCTTTCAGAGTGCACACATCATTTTGATGAAGTCCAATTGATCATTTTTTTTTCCTTTTATGCATCATGCTTTTGGTGCTTATCTAACAAATATTTCTCTAATCCAAAGTCACACTAATATCTACCTTTTTCCTTATGCAAATTTTAAAGTTTTAGGCCTTACATTTTGGTTTATGATACATTTTGAATAATGGTGCCATGTATGGACTGAAGTTTTTAATATGCATATCTAATTGTTCTAATAGTATTTGTTGCTAAGATTGTCTTTTCTCCACTGAATTTGCTGTACAACTTTTGAAAAACAATTGAACACATATGTGATGGTCTATTCTGGACTCTGTATTCTGTTCTATTGATCCATTTGTCTAGCCTCTTACCAATACCATACCGTCTGAATTTCTGAACCTTTACGATAGGTCTTGAAGTTAGGTATTGTTAGCCATCTTACTTAATTCTTCTTTTTTAGAGGGTTTTTTATTTCTAATCTAGGTCCACTGCATTGCCACACACAGAAACCCGTGCCCTTGAGCATACATACATATGCAACACAAGTATAAATATATGCACAGAACGACAAAGTGAAATTTATCCCAAGAATGCAAGGCTGCTTCAACGTTAAAAATGGGCCAGTATAACTCACCATATTAACAGATGAAAAGACAACAGCACATCATTATTTCAGTATATTTGGAAAAAGCATTAGACAAAATCCATCAACCTTATAAAAACTTCCAGTCTATTTCTATTCCTAAAAACTAGGAATAGAAGTGAATTTTCTTAAACTGATAAAAGGCACCTACAAAAACCCTGTAGTTGATGTTTACTGGACGTTATTCTTAATGATGAAAGACTGGATGGTTTCACCCCAGAGGAAGAACTAGGTGAGGATGTCAGCTCTCACTACTTGTATTCAGCATCCTATGGAGAGTCTAGCAGTGCAAAGGGCTCCTTCCTTTAGTAGACTCAGATTTCCATCTGGAGTCATTATTCTCCTGCTAGATGGATGTCCTTTACCATTTCTCAATCTGTACATCTCCTGGTGATGATTTCTTTCATCTTTTGTCAATCTGAAAACCTCTTTATTCTGCCTTTTTATTGGAAAACAAAATTTTGACTGTGTAAAGAATTCTAGGTTGGCATTTTTTTCTTTAAAAAAAATACTTCCATACAACTTGCAATTTTCCAACAAGAAATCTGCTTTGTATCTTTGATTCTCTGTACATATATGTCTTTTTCTTCTCTATCTAGCTGCTTGTAGGAGGACTCAGCTTCTCGCAGATAGACATGTATGATAAAGATGCAGTAACTACATCAAGTGTGGTATTGTCCATGGATGGATAAATAGACTGATGGAATAGAGCAGAGGGCCCACAGACAGACCCACAAGAGTCCAACTGTGATTGATCACCAAGGAGGAGCGTGATGGTGAAGGACTGTGCTTGTTATAATGTGCTGGGGCCTTTGGATAACCACTGACTAAGTGGGCCAAGTGGCCTTTTGGCTTAGGCTGAAGCAGGATAATAATAACGTTATCTATTCATAGAATTGTTAAAATTACCTGGTTTTATATTTGCAAAGTAATTAGAGCAGTATTGAGACAAAGGGAATCTTCAGTGAACATTTCCTCTAGTCATAGTTTTTTCCACCACTTGACTTCCTGCCCTATTCAGAGTCTTATGTTTGCCAGGACTCAAGCACCTCCTTATGGGGCAGACTCCACAGGGCATGATATGGTTTGGATCTATGTTCCCCACCCAAATCTCATGTCCATTTGTAATTTCCAGTATTGGAGGTTGGGCCTGGTGGGAGGTGATTGAATCATGGAGGCAGATTTTCCCCTCTGTGCTGCTCTCATTATAGTGAGTGAGTGCTCACCAGATCTGATTGTTTCAAAGTGTATAGCACCTCTCCCATTGCTCTATTCCTGCTGTTCCTGCCATGTGAAGACGTACCTGCTTCCCCTTCACCTTCTGCCATGATTGTAAGTTTCCTGAGGCCTCCCCAGCCATGCTTCCTGTACAGCCTGTCAAACTGTCAGCCAATTAATCCTCTTTTCTTTATAAATTACCCAGTCTCAGATATTTCTTTATAGCAGTGTGAGAATGGACCAATACAGGGCATCATGGTCAGTCCTGGGGAACAGCTTCCTGGAGTGGGAGGAGCTCAGTCCTGGTAACCTGCTGTTCCCTTGCCTGAAACCCCTTGTTTCCTCCACCTTCCATCTCATTCAACAAAGCTCTTGGGAGAACAACTTTAAGGACTCCCTATGCCTCTTCCTTCAAAGGTAGCCAGCCAAGAAGTAGATGGCTGGTTGAGCCATACTGACTACCATGGACAGCAGCAACAGAAGGTCAAAGGCAAAGGTCAGGTATTCTTTTCCTGGCAGGTACACAAGGACAACTAAGGGCAGGCCCCAAACGAGGAAGCTGATGGCCACAAAGCGGACAATGTGGTAGATCCGGATGGGTGAACAGTTCTTCAGGCAGTACAGGCTCCTGATGATCAAAGTCAGGCTGGAAATGCCCACCACAAGACAAATAAGCATGTGAAATATTATAAAGCCTGCCTGAAATTGGTCACATGCCAGGCCCTTCTCCCATTACTCACAAACCTGGCTAACCACATGCAAAGAAAGGGCCAGGGCCCAGCTCAGGATGCTCATCACAGCAGAGGTGTGCTTTGGGCGGTGGCAGCACCAGGTGGGACAGAGGACACACAGAAAGCTCTCAATATTCATGGCCACCAGGAGACAGAGACTCACTGTGTCAGAGAAATAGGACACAGGCTCCAGAAACATGGCCACCTGCAATGTCACCTGGTGATACAGCATGAGGATTTTCTCCAACAGGATCACAGTTACACAGGAGAGGTTGACCATATCAGCAGCAGCCAGGTTAAGGACATAGGTCATGTAGGGGCTGCTCCTGACCTGGAAGCAGAAAAGCCAGCACACCACACCATTGCCCACCAGCCCACAGAAGGCCACCAGCACTGTCAGGATGAAAACCACCTGTTTGCCCACCAACCACTCGCCTCCCGTATGACTCATGTTCACTTGTCCTGGGGTCTCTGTCCTGTTGTCCCAATCCAGCTTCCCAGAGAACACTGAGAGAAACTGGGCCATGGTGGGCTGCCTTGGCTGCCTGGGCACACCCTGCAAAGACAAAGGTTGGTAACTTACCAGGCCTAGGAAGGAGAGTCAGGGTTGCCTTCTGACCTGCTGGGCTTCCCAAGAGGGTCCTGCTGGGCCTCCCAAGATTGGTGGGAATCTCACAGAGCAAAGTCAAGGAGAGGAATGAGTCTCCTGCAAGTGATCCATCCATCCCATATCCTCCACTGCAGGGTACCCTCTCCTGCTTGCCCCCATCCCTCTCTCCACCTCGTTCAGGTATTCTTGATGCTGTGCCCAACACCAGGTGTGTATCCATGCACCTAGGTGCCCATAAAGGAAAGAGGTGCATTTCTTTACCTTTGTTCTCCAACTCTCTCATTGACACAGACAGTTTTCATGGCATGGTTTTGGTGGAGGCACCAGGCAATTCCTCTGCCCTAAGGTTCTGAGATATTCTGAGTCCCACATGGGGCAGTTGCTTTTCAGTGCTCTAGGGAAGGTCTACCCAACCTCTCTCCTGCTCACCTCCCCTCAACTCCTCACTTTCAGCACGAGGGCCTCCTGGTAGGACCTTTATGTTGTTCTGCTGCCTGGAAGGGCCTCTGCACATCTGTAAGCTTTGTATCCTCTTTCCAATCTTTGCCCCAGTATCAACTTCCAGAGAAGCTTCTGCTTCCTATTAACATTGCATTCATCACATGCTGAGTGTCTATGCAACTTACTTACTTCTGCAGAAATCCCTCTGTGGGAATGGAAGATTTATCAGGTTTTTTATTCTCTTCACAATGTTGTTCAATAACTTCTCCAGCTCCTGGAACAGGGTTTGACATAGAGGACTCACTTGGGTACGGCACCTATGGAGAGCTTTATGCAGCTCAGTTACACTTGGGGAAGTGCTGGTGACCTCTTCATAAAAGCAAACTTTGCTTCTGAATCACAGAAGCTTCTGGAACAAAGCTTGTTCCGCAAACTGATTTAAAAAAAAAGGCTTCTTGGACTCCTGAGGGAGACTCACACCTGAACCCTGGGCTACGTCCACAACAGGAGCAGGCACTCTCCTCCACATTGCCAATCACAGGTCTTTCTTTGTAGAATCATGAGGGGAGGGTGACCAACTTATCCTGCTTTGCCTAGGACTTTCCCAGTTTAAGCTCTGAACATCTCTTGTCCTGAAAATCCTCATAGCCCTAGGAAAACCAAGGTGGTTTGTTGCCCAACTTGAAAGTTAAACAGGAGAAGGTCAGTACCCCTTCTGGAATCCCACAGCTTGGTTAAACCCAGTGATCTGAGGAGTTCATGCTGAGACTGTGAGAGCTGACCTCTTGGGGGCAAATCCCAGCTCTTTTTCATAGTAGCTGACTCTTTCTTTGCCTCAGCATCCCCATCTAAGTAAGGGCTGCTGCTATGGGATGAATTGTATTCTTCTAAATTCATATGTTGAACTATCCCAGTACCTCAGAATGTGACTGAATTTGGAGACAGGGACATTAAAGGGGTAATTATGTTTAGATGGGTCATTAGGGTAGGCCCTAATCCAATAGGGGTAGTGTCTTCATAAGTAAAGGAGATTAGGACACAGACACCCACAGGGGGATGACCATGAGAAGACACAGGGAGAAGGCAGCCATCTACAAGCTAAGGAGAGAGGCTTTGGAAAGAAATGATCCCGGCAATCTTTGGATCTCAGACTTTCAGCCTCCTAAAACTGAGAGAATGAACTTCTGCTGTTTAAGCCACTCAGTCTGTGATCTCTGTCATGGGAGCCTGAACTGATGATCACATTTATGATGAAAAGTTTACAGACGGAATTATGGAAAGTCTCAGAACAGTGAGATCTACCTGGTTCTACAACCCTGAGCTGCTGAAGCTTTGCTTCTGAATCACAGAAGCTTCTAGAACAGAGCTTGTTCCACAAACTAACTGATAAATGCCTGCGATATGCCTGGAAATATTCCACAGGTGACCTTGTGGCCTGCAGTCACATATTGGTGCATCAGCAGGGTTTAGGAGAATGCTAGGGACCAGCTCCAAGTGAGCCCAGTGTTTGAATCTTCCCTCCTTGCTGGGATGATGGAGTCCCCTTCAGTTGGCAGCTCTCTTGAAATGGAAGGGTCCAGCCCCAGCCCCTCCCCTCCCTGCACTTGTTACCTAGACACTCTTACCTGAGGCCAGGGAGGACCGCAGATCTGGCTCAGATCTAATCTGGTCATAGGATGAGTCTTGGGGCTTGGTAACATTGGTGCCCATGGAAACATCAGGGTGACCTGCAGTTCTGTGCCTGGGCCAGGGTGTCAGAACTCGTGATGATGACAGAAGAGAAGCTGCAAACAGACCTCCGTGGCCCACCCCAGGCCACCAAGGCACCAAGCAGGAGCAGTTGGGCTCTGGTCCCCAACAAAGAAAGGAGATTTATAGATAAAAGAGTTTCAAGGGGAGAGGTGACTTACCCTTCAACAAAGAGAAAATGCCCATTTTGGAGGCAGCATGTGGCTTCAGGGACAGAGCCAGGCTTCCCATCCCTGGGCTCACTGAGACCTAGCTCATGCCCAGAGACCACTACTGAGGCCAGTGACTAAGCAGCACATTCTTCCTCATCACACAAGAGGAGGACACAGCCCTCCTGGGGTGGGAAGGCTTCAGTGCCTGGTGCAGCCCCAGCACTGGGCACAGAGAGATCCTAGCACCTGGAAATGTCATTTCCAAGTCGGGTCATGAGCCAAGCTCCCCAAGGAGCATAAACAACAAACAGGTTGGATCCTGGGATTCAGGGAGCCAGCTCTGATGGAAGTGCTCAGGTTGATGCAGCCAAAATAGCCAAGTAACCTTTGCATTGGGATTGAAGTACTTGCTCTGGTTCTGAGTTGAGAGCCCACCCTCCCCACTTAATCTTTATTTGAGGTGAAATTTACATAACACAAATTAACTAATTTAAAGGGCACAGTTCTGCCTCACTTAGCACCTTCACAATGTTGTGCAACCACCACCTCTATCTGGTTCCAAAATATTTACATACCCCCATAAGAAAGCCTTTTACCTGTTAGCAGTTACTCCCCTTGTCTTCCTCCTCCCAGCTCTTGGCAACCCCATCTACCTTCCATTTCTGCACATTCACCTATTCTGGACATGTCCTATTAGTGGAATCAGACCCTCTGTGATTTTTTGTCTGTTTCTTTCACTCAGCCTCTTGTTTTCATGGCTTCTTCACAGGGTAGCATGCATAAGAACTTCATTCCTTGCGTTAGATACAAACTAAATATGAATATAGAAGCTGTGAAATCAGAAGACCCAAAAGGATTTTCCTAGAAGTCATAGACTACACCTCAGTAATACAGTGGCTCAAATCCTACCTTTAACAGAATAACACACCCTCTGCCCATCTACACAGCTGGGGCATTTGTGAACCAGGGGCCAGGGCACAGTTGTGGCTCACCTGCTGGGACTACCCTGGAACCCCGAATCCTGCTTTCTCCAGGAACCTGGTTTCTGTCCTGTCCCCATTTTCCTGAGAAATGCACCTTCCCCAGTAAAAAATCATGAGGTTTCAAATTCCAGGAAAATATGTCTCTGAGTTAAAATGGTTTGAAAATGAAAGAAGGAAGAGAGATCTTTTCTCATACCTGGGAAGTCTTGGATAGAATTGGTACCACAGAGGCCAATGTCCTGAGAGATGAAAGTTCTGCCCACAGGTCAGGAAGCAATCTAACGATGTCTGATTTGAACTGGGTCCTGACAAGAGGTTGTCAATTTCTCTGTGTCTGTTGGGTCTTCCTGTACTGGGGCAAATTGCATATCAGGGCCCAGGCCTTTATCTGAAACATTGTATCTCAGCATCTCCTGATATCCCCCATCCCACTGACACTTTTGATTACTCCATCCTGAACAATAACTTCCCTCAAAAAAGAAGGATCTTTAAGACAAGTTGTCACCTGCCTCCCTGTGTGAATCTCCTAGAATGACATCCAGCCCAGCCCAGCCCATCTGAGACAGGCAGGAGAGGGAACTCTGGTGGGCATTTTGTCAATAAACTTGAGCATGCCAGGAACTCAAATGTGCTCCTTTCATTTTGCTGTCAATTGAATTGCATTTTTTTTTTTTTGCAAAAGATGTGGAAGTTCTTGTAAATCTGTGTCAGAAACTTACATTGGATTCACCAAGCCTAGGGAGATTTGGCTGTGCTTTGTTGGAGCCAATATTTTTCACCCTGGTTTACCCCACCACTGACTTGCTTTCTTTTTTTTTTTTTTGAGACGGAGTTTCACTCTTGTTGCCTAGGCTGCAGTGCAATGGTGCAATCTCGGCTCGCTGCAACCTCAGCCTCCTGGGTTCAAACGATTCTCCTGCCTCAGCCTCCTGAGTAGCTGGGATTACAGGCATGCACCACAACACCTGGCTAATTTTGTGTTTTTAATAGAGACAGGGTTTCTCCATGTTGGTCAGACCGGTCTCAAACTCCCAACCTCAGGTGATCCGCCCACCTTGGCCTCCCAAAGTGCTGGGATTACAGGGGTGAGCCACTGTACCCGGCCTTGACTTGCTTTTATGAGGCAAGAAAAGACATGTCTCCTTGTTGCACTAATTTCGATCAATCAATAAGTCAATTAGTTCATTTTCATTACATCTCTCTGAATCAATTGAGAGATAAATTGAGAAGTCAAAACAATGCCCAACAACATAGCATCTTTATTCCTCCCTCCCCTAATGACCTGGGAAGCAGTTTGTGACCCCAAAGCACTTGCTTATATGTTATTCTCTCCAGGAATTGAATTTACTCCTCAAAGTAATAGGCACAGGCACCCATGGTCAACACCTGTCTCCTGAAGCTTATCACTTAATGGAGGGAACCCAGGAGTATGATTCCTCCATGCAGACAGTCAGATTCCAAGGAGAAAGGAGGAAAAGTCCTTCAAATGCCACATTCAGCCCCTTCTTCTGGATGCCCCACTCAGCAAAGTCACTTGTGGCTGATGCTGGTCAGAGAAGCCCTTCCAAATGGGAACATGGGTGTAGGAAATATGTGCTTCTCACACTCCCAAAGGATCACAAATGGGGCCCTGTGTCTCTTAACTTCCTTATGTACAAAAGTACATACTCACTAGAATATGATTTTACAACATTTCCATCATTCCTATACAATGTGTTGGGAAGTGATCCTTTCTGATCTATATTTTGGAAGAGTTTGTATAGAATTGTATTATTTTTTTCTTTAAATGTTTGGTAGAATTCACCAGTAGAGACATCTGGGCCTGGGCCTTTTTTGTGGGAAGATATGCAATGACAGTTTTAATGTCTTTACTTCTTGTAGGCTTATACAGATTTTCTATTTCCTCTTGAGTCAATTTTGGTAATTAGTTTTTCTAGAAATTTATCCATTTCATCGAAGGTGTCTAGCATGTTAGGATAAAGTTGTTCATAGGATTTCTTTATAATCCTTTAAATTTCTATAAAGTTGGTAATGATGTGCCCAATTTCATTTCTGATTTTAGGAATTTGAGGCCATTTTTTTTTCTTGGTAAGTCTAGCTAAAGGTTTGTCAATTGTGTTGTTATTTTCCATGATTCAACTTTTGGTTTCATTACTTTTCTCTATAGTGTTTTATTTTCTATTCCATCTACTCTTGCTCTCTTCTTTATTATTTCCTTTCTTCTGCTTGCTTTGGGGTTAGTTTTCTCTTCTTTTCCTTGCTTCTTACCATAGAAAGTTGAATTACTGATTAGAGGTATTTTTCTTTTCCAATGTAGGCATTTACAGCTACAGATTTTCCTCTAAGCACTGGTTTATCTCCATCTCATAAATGTTGACATGTTATGGTTTCATTTCATTTCATGCATATTCTTTTTAATTTCCCCTGTGTTTTTTTTTCTTTCACTTGTTATTTGTGGATTCCTGAAGTTTCCAACTGTTGGTGATTACTCATTCAATTCCATTGTGGTTGGAATACATATATTGTATTAGTTCAATTTTTTTTTAATTTATAGATAATTTGTGCCCTCCCATCTAGTCTATCCTGGAGAATGTTCCATGTGTGTTTCAAAAGCGTGTATAATTCATTTGTTGTTGTCAAGTAGGTCAAGTTGGTTGATAATGTTTCAGGCTCTGTATCCTTGCTGATTTTCTATCTAGTTGTTCCATCAATGATTGATAATGGAGTGTTGAAATCTTCAACTATTTTTAATGATTTGTTTATTTATCCCCTCAATTCTGTCATTTTCATGTTTTATGTATTTGGGGGATGTGTTGCTAATTGTGTGTATGTTTATAATCCTCATATCCTCCTGATAAATTGAAATTTTATCATTATAGAATATGCCTCTTTATTTCTAGTAACGCTATTTTTCTCAAGGTCTACTTTGTCCAATATTAGTAGAGCTGTCTCAGCTCTTTCATCATAGTTTTCTACATGGTATACTTTTTTCCACCCTCTTTTTTTAACCTATTCATTTTAAAATCAAAACTGCCTCTGGTAGACTGCATATACCAGACATTGGACATACTAGGTGAACATATTAGACGAACAATTTTAAACACGTTCAAAGAACTAAAGGAAACCATGTCAAAAGAACTAAAGGAATGCATGAGAATGATATCTCACCAAATACAAAACATCAATAATGAGATGGAATGTTAAAAAAGAAACAAGGCCGGGCGCGGTGGCTCACGCCTGTAATCCCAGCACTTTGGGAGGCCGAGGCGGGCGGATCACGAGCTCAGGAGATCGAGACCATCCCAGCTAAAACGGTGAAACCCCGTGTCTACTAAAAATACAAAAAATTAGCCGGGCGTAGTGGCGGGCGCCTGTAGTCCCAGCTACTTGGGAGGCTGAGGCAGGAGAATGGCGTGAACCCGGGAGGCGGAGCTTGCAGTGAGCCGAGATCCCGCCACTGCACTCCAGCCTGGGCGACAGAGCGAGACTCTGTCTCAAAAAAAAAAAAAAAAAAAAAGAAAAGAAACAAATAAAATTCAGTAATTGATAAATAAAATCGTAGAAATAAAAACTTCACTAGATAGCCTCAATAACAGATTTGAGAAGGCAGAAGAAAGAATCAGTAAATTTAAAGATAGGTGGGGAAATTATCCAGTATGAGGAACATGAATTAAAAAGAAGAAGAATGAACAGAGTTTCAGAGACCTGTGGGACACAATCCAGTGTACCAAAACACATAAACGAGAATTTTCAGGAGAGGATAGAATAAAAGGAACAGAAGGAATATTTAAAGAAATACTAGCTGAAAAACTCCAAATTCAATGAAAAAATGTTAATCTACACTTTCACAAAGCTCAACAAACTTAGATAAAATAAATTCAAAGAGATTCACACATAGAAACATTATAATCAAACTGCCAAGAAACAAAGAAAGAATCTTGAGGGCAAAAAGAGGGAAGCAACTTATCATGTACAAGAGATTCTCAGTAAGAATAAGAACTAATTTCTCATGAAAAATTACAGAGTCAGGAGGCAATGGGATGACATATTCAAAGTAGCAAAAGTAAAATACTGTCAATGAACAATTCTAAAGCCAGCAAAACTATTCTTCATAAATGAACTAGAAATTAAACATTCTCAGATTTTGAAAACTGAGAGAAGCTGTAATTACCAGACCTGTCTTATGGGAAATTATAAAAGCAGTCTTGCAGGTTGACATGAAAGGACACTACATAGCAACTCGAATCCACATGAAGAAATGAAGAACTCCAGTAAAGATAACTACATGGGTAAATATAAAAGACAGTATAAATGCAATTTGTTTGCGATTTCCTCTCTCATATGATTCAAAAGACAAATACATAATGAAATAATTATAAATCTGTATTGATAAGCCTACAATGTATAAAGATGTAATTTGTACGGCAATAAAAACACAAAGAAGCAGAAGAGAATGGAGCTGTATGGAAGCAAAGGTTTTGTGTGCTATTGAAATTAAATTGCTATTAATCTGACTAAATTGTTATAAATTATTAATTGCAAGATCCAGGGCAATATTTAAAAAATACCTCAAAAAGTATAGTAAAAGAAACAACAAGGAGAATTAAGTAAAACACTAACAAAATTTATTTAACATACAAAGGCAGTAATAATGGAATAGAGCAATAAAAAACACGATATAAAGAAAATAAGTAGCAAAATGACAGGTCAAAATCCTATACTATCAGTAATTACATTAAATGTAAATATATTAAACACCCCCTTTAAATGGCAGAGACATGAAAAAAAAAAAGAAATCCTGTCATTCATGGCAACATGGATGAACCTGGAAGACACCATGTTAACTGAAATAAGCAGGCACAGAAAGATAAAGACTGTGTGTTCTCACTCACATATGGAAGCTAAAAAATGTTGAGCTCATTAGAAATAGAGAGTGGAATTTTGATTATTAGAGCACAGGAAGGATCGAAGGGAGGAGAGAGGGAAGGATAGGAAGAGATTGGTTCATGGATACAAAATTACAGCTAGATACCAGGGGAGGAGGCTGGCAAGATGGTGGAATAGGAATAGCTCTGGTCTGCACCTCCCAGCAAGATTGACCCAGAAGGTGGATGATTTCTGCATTTCCAACTGAGGTACCCAGTTCATCTTATTGGGACTGGTTGGACAGCGGGTGCAGCCCATGGAGGGTGTGCCAAAGCAGGGTGGGGCATCGCCTCACCCGGGGAGCACAAGAGGTCAAGGAACTCCCTCTCCTAGCCAAGGGAAGCCGAAGCCTTGAGGGACTGTGTGGGGAGGAACGGTGCACTCTGGCACAGATACTGCGCTTTCCTCACGTCTTCGAAACCTATAGACCAGGAGATTCCCTCTGGTGCCTATGCCACCAGGGCCCTGGGTTTCAAGCACAAAACTAGGAGGCTGTTTAGGCAGACACCAAGCTAGCTGCAGGAGGTTTATTTTTTCTGATTAAGTCAAGCAGCAGTTCTCACCGTGGCTAATTAGGCCTCCCACTGGGACATTTGGCAATGTCTGGAGCTGGTTTTGATTGTCACAATTAGAGAGGATGCACTACTATCACCTAGTGGGTAGAGCCCCGAGATGGTGCTAAACATCCTACAATGCACAGGACAGCACCCCCAACAAAGGATGATCCAGTCAAAATCGTCAGTAGTACTGAGGTGGAGGGCACTGATCTTTAGATCTTGTGACTAGGCTTTTTCTTTCTGAGTAACATGGAAACTGCTGAAAGATTTTGAGATAAGAAGTGGTATGATCTGAGTTGTTATAAATGGGTTACTCTGGCTTCCATGTTGAGAATATACTAAAGGTTAAGGGAAGAACCAGAGGATTATTTCAATCATCCAAGCAAGAGATGTTGACAAGGACAGACCAGAGTGGTGGTCCTAACAGTGATAACGATTTGTCAGTTTCACAACATATTTTTGCAGGTAGAGCCAATAGAATTTGTGGGTAGATTATATGTGAGTGAGATGAAGAAGAGTCAGTATCACAAGATTTTTGTCTGAGAAACTAGAAGAATGGATTTTCATTACGGGAGATGAGAAAGGCTACAGAAGAAGCACATTGTGGGGGAGAGGGTGGGTAGTAAGGAGCTCAGTTTATGGCATGTTAAATCTGAGATGTGTATTAGATACCAAAAGCTGCTGGTGGGTAGACAATTGGACATAGGAATCTGGAGGTTAGGAGAAAAATCCAGCCTGGAAATATAAATTTAGGAGTCATCAGCATATAGATGGTGTACAATGTCATAAGACTGGATGACGGAAGTGCATGTAAAAAAGGAAAGAGGACTGAACCCTAGGCACAGCAGGGAGGAGGAGAAACCAATAAAGGAGATTAAGAAGGAGCAGCTGGGAGACTTTGGTGATTTGAAGCTGTCAGTCAGCTCAGACTGCCATAACAAAATACCATAAACTGGGTGGCTTCAACAACAGAAGTTGATTTCTCACAGTTCTGGAGGCTGGGAAGTTCAAGATCAAGATGCTGGCTGATTTTGTTCCTGGTGATGGCTCTCCTCCTGGCTTGCAGACAACTCCCTACTTGCTGCCTCCTCACGTGGCCTTTCCTCTTTTATAAGGAAACTAATCCTATTTGGCCCTCACCTTTGTGACCTCATTTAACTATAATTACCTCCTAAAATGCCCATTTCAAATACCATCACATTGAGGATTAGATTTTCAACATATGAATTTTGGGGGGGGACACAATTCAGTCCATAGCAGAAGTGAAAGGCATGTTCCAAAAAGGAAAGCTAAGTCCACTCTATTGAAAAGCTTCTAACAGGTCA
The DNA here is from genome assembly GCF_000001405.40 of Homo sapiens. NCBI lineage: Eukaryota > Metazoa > Chordata > Mammalia > Primates > Hominidae > Homo > Homo sapiens. Next base: position 857,930 of record NT_167249.2, read on the forward strand.
AGTAACATGAGGACTGAAAACTACTATATCAATGTGGAGGTCAGTTTGTGACCTTCGATGAAAGGTTTCCAGTGCAGAAACCTTGTTGGAGCCAACCCGAAAGAGAATTCAAGGACTTGGATGGTAGCTAGGGGGAAGTGAAGTCAAGAGAAGATTATTTTCTGATGAGTGAAATCAAAGTATGTTTATGTATTGATGGGGATGGTCCACTGGAAGGACAAATTATATTACAGGAAAGAGGGGAAAGATTAGAGTAATGTCCCTGAATAAGTGGAAAGGGATGGAATATAGTGGGCAAGTGGGGGTACTGGCATCAGACAGATGCAAAATAGTATATTCCTAGCAGTATCAGAAGAAAAGGTGGAGTCCCATATGTGAGCACAGATGCAAGTAGGTGAACAGATGGGTTAGTAAGAACTTCTCTTTTTATTGCTTTACATTTTTTCAGTAAAAAATGAAGTAAAATTTTTATCTGAGAAAGATGATATTATTTGAGAGAGAGGAGTACTGGGGATTTGAGGGGAGACCAGAAAGTATGCATGAGTTACGTAGGAGAGGGGAAAGTGAGTGGACTAGGAAAATATGATTATCAATGACATTAGCCCCTTCCTCTTAAAGTAGTGGTCATGAATGTAAAGTGAAACCTCTCAGTGTGGCTATTGGCTTTCCTTCGGCCACAGTCAGCTGAACAAATATAGGGAGAGAGTAGGACTATAGTTGGATTTAAATAGGAAAGCAATTTAGCTGAAAGAGTGTAACAAGTGAAAAGGGCAGGAACATTGATGTATGCAAAGGAGTAATAGTGATTGACGAGACAGTCTAAGCTTGATAGAGAACTGAAGATACAAGGGGCGTGAGGGGCCACGATGAATTTGCGGACCTCTCACTGAGGAAGAAACTGAGAGGAAAGTATAGAAAGATAATCTATGAGGATACTGAATTCACCAAGAATCATCACAGTACTGGAGAGAGTGAGAGGGGATCAGGGACAAAAATCTTCAAGGACGAAGGAGGAGCAAAGGGAAAGAGAATGATGAGAGCCACAAGTGGGGAGGTGGACTTTGGAGCAAAGCTGATGACATAACAGTCAAAGCTACATTCAAAACTAATAATGACTTCAACAAATCTACAAAATTCCTGACAGAAAGGGTTATTTTCCTTGTTTTACAGATGATGACATTGAGAGTCACTGAAGTTAAACAATTAGCTTAAGGTCACTCCATCAGAGAATGAAATTCTAAACCAGTTCCAATTGAATAGTAGAAATATTAATGAGAGGGAATTACGCTGCCTTTGGCCTTCATACACTGCCAGAGGCACACTACCCTAAAGGGACTTTCCCTCCAGAATTTCCTCTTCCCCACTCTTGGGGACTCCTCTCCGGACACCTTCATGCAAAGTACTAATGATAGGAGTGGGACATCTATTCCCCAGAGCTCCATCCTCTCTTCTAAATAACAGGGAACGTTGAGTCCCCTGTTTTTTCTCTAGTGAGAGCACTCATCAGCATGCTTCCTCCTCTCTAACTGTGTCCTTTAGATCCAGGAGGGATATTTGCTACCACCACCAGCTAATGCTGATTTGCTACCAGCACAAGGCCCAGGTCCTTGTCTGGTCTGTACCCCATTACAAGGTTCTCCAGGAACAGACATCACCACCTCTGCCTAGATCCTGAAATTTCACAAATGTAGGTTCTTTCTTACCCGTTCTTTTTATTCCTCTATTTACAAGCACAATGACACCCACCCCTCGTCTTCTTCCTGAAATACCTGGCTCTGATCCCAGGCATCCATTCCAGAAATCAACACAGCTATGCAATTGCATCTTTTATTAAATACTCCCAACTCCATTTCAAATCCAGAGAATCCAGAGCAGGAGCAAGAGACCAACCTATCATCTGGAAACTCAAGGTGTAAACATTAGTGCCAAAGATTAGTCATGAAGGTAAGTTGGGTATTACAGTGCCCTACAACACAATGGTCTTGTGCCGAGAGCCACATTCTGAAATACCAAGTGAAGTTTGATGACACATTATATTATATATTTCACAACAGATTTGTCTTCTAGATGTGTGAGGGAGATGATGGGTTTATGTGTACAGGTGCACACATGCCTATGTTTTGGGGAATTTGTGCATACATGTAACAAGAATGTTATCTGTGCAGTTTTATTATTGTGTGCCTGTTTTCATGGTGTGGCATATTTGAAGAGGAATGGTTTAGAGCTTGCCAGGCTGAACAGTTATGTGTCCGTGTAATCACCGCATTAAAGAATTTGACCTTTTGTAACTCAACATCTCTAGCCACCATTGGTCTGTAAGCCTGAATGTCACCTCTCCTACTTTATTCATCTCTGATATGACCCCAAATTATAAAATGATCTATAAATATAGGTAAGACTTTGCATGTCCTTTCATACTCCACAGTCTCTAGCACAGTGGATCCTGGTTGATCAAACAGGAAGGACCTCGAAGTTAGTCAAATATAAGTGGAAAACCTATTAAGCATTTACAAATAATGTGGCCTTGGGCAAGTAATTTAACTTCAGTTACTCTCCTAACATACTCTATAAAATAAGGCTATTGCCTAATATTCAAGTGAGTTAAGATTAGAGTTAATAAATGAAAAGAGATGTAAATGTTCATAGCAGTTGTATCACTGCCTAGCATAAGAACCCCTTAAAAACCTGTTTCTTAATTTGGGAAACAGATATGACGATAGTTAGCATTTATTAAAGGATGACAGTTAACAACTGCTATGTGCCAGGCCTTGTTCTAACAGCTTTTCATATTTAGCCCACTTAACATATTTCTATTTTCATATGAGGAAACTGAGGCAGAGAGAGGCTAAGTAACATACCCAAGGTTTTCCAGCTAGAAAATGGCAGAGCCAGGACTCAAACCCAGGCAGTCTGGCTGCTGAGCCCTGGTTCTTAATTATGACATTAATGCTTATTCTGCCCAGTGAGGATAAAATGAGTGAAACATAAAATCAAACAGGATGTTTTGGTAGGGAGCAGTGTTTTTTCCCTCTGAAAAATGAAAAATTAGGTTATTGTGATTTTGTAATTTACAGCAGTGAATATGATGTGAAAAATAAGTTATCCATATAATAATTTATGTCAGGAGTCATGCAGCAGAAAGATTTCTGTCCATCACATAAACTTTCATCCATTACATAACCCATATGTTTCTGTACCATTAAGACACTTGGTTCAACAAGACCCTTGGAGAATGAGGTTCCTTTTGTTCCCTGGGGTTCTCTTTTTATTTTATTTTTGGATTAATATTTGATAGTAAAGCCAAGGATTTGGGACAGGAAACTTAGATGACATCTAGTTCAAACTCCTTGATTTACATATGAAAAAATTGAGACAGAGGGAAATGAAGATTTCCCCATATCATATAACTGGCTAAAGGGAGCTATGTAGGTAAAACCAAGATGTCCTGATATTCTAGTCTACCAGAAAGTGTTCTTTTTTTCTACCCAACTTATTCCTGATTTAAAGGCTAGTATACGTGTGCTGATCTCCCCTCAGTGGGAGGGGCATGGACGTTGGGAGTAGTCTCTATTCACAACAAATTAAAAATCAGTAATCAGCCGTATAATGGGTTGTGTTAGAAAGTAAACTAAGGCCCAATAAAATATTTAAGAGTTTATTTGAGCAGTGATCCATGAATTGGGCAGCTCCAAGCCAGAAGTGGCTAGGGAGCTCCCCAGAGAGAACATGAGGAGGAGGCTTTTTAGGACAAATAGATAAAAGCAAAGATAATATTTCATTGGTTACAGTTATACAGTTACACAGTTATACAGTTGCCTTATTTGGTCTATCCCATGAGGAAGTCCTAGTTACTAATTACGTTTTTGTTGGCTGCTTCTGATTGGTTGAGCTTAAGTTCTGTGTTTCTTTAACATAGGCATTTACAAGAAATACCACAAATAAAGTTTCAGACATGCTTGCAAATCAAGCAAGGTTAAGGTCACTTAGGAGGCCCAACTGGCTCTGTCTGCTCAAGGATTCTTCTGGCCTCGTCTCCATTTTACATGAACTGTTGCATAAATAAACACAGAGTACCTGAAACAACGGAGGTGATCATTCTGCCTACCGAGTGTTGGCCACGCCAAGCTTGGAGTGTTGCTCTTATTCTTAGGGAGTTTATTTTTAAGTAATCTCATCTGTAAATGGGATTACAATCCACAAACTGACCTTGTATATGATTCCATTCCTTCTCCCAGCCCAGCCCCACACTCCAAGGTTTTCCCTTTGCTTATAAGGGGTAGTCACCCTTTTTTATTTCGACCTTCCAAACATTCTGGGAGTTTTCCTCCTTTAGGCCAACTACAGCGCAGAGGAGCGCTTTCTCCTGCTGGGTTTCTCCGACTGGCCTTCCCTGCAGCCGGTCCTCTTCGCCCTTGTCCTCCTGTGCTACCTCCTGACCTTGACGGGCAACTCGGCGCTGGTGCTGCTGGCGGTGCGCGACCCGCGCCTGCACACGCCCATGTACTACTTCCTCTGCCACCTGGCCTTGGTAGACGCGGGCTTCACTACTAGCGTGGTGCCGCCGCTGCTGGCC